>NC_000003.12:154311634-154614664 GCF_000001405.40 Homo sapiens | reverse complement strand
AAAGCGTTGTTATTAAGTGAAAGGCGGTCAGGATAACTTGTGCTCCATATTTTTAAGTCAGAGGAAAGTGACGAATGATGGGTGAAAACTTCTGCAATATCTCCCTGATGCAAAAATAACTATTTAATTTTTTACCAAAAAAGAAAATATATAATTCAGCAGTCAGTTCACTGCAAGGCTGGGAGAATGGTAGGGGGAGTGGGGTAATATCAAGGCACTTATTACTCATTATGGTGCTTATATAACCCCATCTATTTTTACCACATCCAAGTGTAGCGAAGGTTTCTTATTCTCAATAGACTCAATCTCTGAAATGCTTTCCTTACATTTCACAGACTTCTCATACTTCAGACTATAGTTCTAGAACCATGTCCTTATGACTGCTGACCAAGCAAAAACCATAATGGTCCTACCTCTTTCTGAGCTCCTGCATTATTCAGTCATCATCCACTCTCAGGATCAACCAGAGTCACCCTATGTTGTTCTCTAGTCAGCCATGGTTACCTCCATGAGAATAGGGAGTGTGTCTTTTTATACTCCCTTGAACCAAGGAAGGCCCTGAGAAAAAGTGGGTTCTCATTAATGCTAATTAAATTTAATTCTTCAACAGAATTTTAAAATTATAAATAGCAAAAGAAAAACCTTGAATCTTAGAAAAATGGTTCCTTTGTGTTATGCAACAAGTGCCTAAAGAGCAAGGACCTGTGATTCATTTCTTCTCCTAAGCACCCAGCACTGTGCCTGAGATCAAAAATTTAATAAAAGATTATTTGTTAGCTCCTTGAGACATAAGTAACAAAATAAGATGCTATTAAAGATGTGTGGAAGAATATCTGTCTAAAATCATTCTACATTTTCAAGGAAATTAGTGGTTTTAATTTGCTCAACTAAGCAGATCTATACCCGAATAATTATAACTCAGCATCAACTATAAAGAGTAAGTAATCAAAACTTTTATTTATTTAGTACCTTATCATCTTAAACATCATCACAATATTTACATGTAATGAACAATAACACAGAATCAATAAGCCACAATCTCTAGTAAGCCACAATCACACTAGAGAACTTAAAATTTGCTGAAGAGACTGGGATGTTTTATGACATGGGAAATTAATATTTCAGCACCAAATATTGGAGGTATTGATTCTCACAATACAAAAAGAAAGGGAAAGGGCAAGGTTAAGCAGGAAAAGGGGATTCTGATTTTGTCAGAAATCTTTCACAATGATTTACCTTTACCAATGAAGTAATCAAGAGTTGTATTTACAGTGGCCAGCGTTTGACTCTCTACTGAATTAACTTGAATCTTCTTTTTCTATTGCAGCATTAATACTGTAAAGGCCACAGAAAATGAAACAATGACCCAAATTAGGCTTTTAATTGTGCATATAAATTTGGTCACATCTCATGATCATCTTCTTACAAAATCCATATTTAAATTGTAATTTTATTAATATTTTATTTCTTGACTTCTCTGATAGAATTTATAGGTCTCTTAAAGTTAGTGTAGATTCAATTTGTTCTCCCATCAGAAAAATTAAAGAAAAAGTGGTAATTTATTTGGCTTGATATATTATTACTGTGTTTAAGAACATCAGAAAATCTTTATTCCAAGCCTTTTATACCCAGCATACTTTCCCTTTCAGAAAAAATATTATTCTTTATAAGGATGTTGGTATAACATGTAATAATTTGAGAAGGCATAGCACATTGACACCTTAATACCTATCAACCCTTCTAAAAATTTTGCTTATTCTTAAAGAATATCTAAAATGACAATGACAATTCTTGCTTGCATTGAATGCCTCCCAGACTGAACCCTTGCCCAACTCGGCCATTCAAATTTTTCAGCCTATAGATTTCCCATCTTTTAATATGTCCAGTATCAGCCAAATGTATTGCTTAAACTTTATACAGATCATATCATTCCTCTGCTCAAAACCCCAGTAGCTTTCCATCTCACATACAAAAAAGTCAAAGTCTTTGTAATGCCCTACAAAGACCATGGTGCCGTGTAGCCCAGTACCTTTTCTGATCTCACTTCCTACCCTTCTTCCCTTGCCTACTTCCCTCCATCATCCTGTTCCTTAAATATCCCTATCCTACTCTCATCTCATGACCTTTGCACCACTGTAGCCTCTGCCTGGAATGCTTCACACCCATCTATCAGCACAGTTTCTCCCTCATTTTTTCCAGGCTTCTGTTCAATTGACATTGTCTAATAAAGGTTTTCCCTGAACCAGCAATTCCCTCTATCAGAACTTTATTTCCCCTTCCTGCTTTATTTTTCTCCATAGCATTTATTACTAAATGACTCCATAATATATTTACCTGTTTATTGTTTGTTATTCACCTCCCTCACTAGAATATAAGTTCCTCAAAGCAAGTACTTTTTAAATTTTTTTTCATTGCTCTACCTTCAGTACATGTAAGGGTGTGTAAACATAGGTGAAACACAATAAATATTTGTTGAATGAGTGAATTTATTATTGTAAAGAGAACTACTTATTAATACTTATAAAACACCACAATGTGGATATAGCATGGCATTTCTCTCTGATATCAGTTTCTTACAAATTTTATCCATGTTAATACCCCAGTTATCTATCATTAACAAATTAAACCAATGACAGAGAAAATAATTTCAAATTATGCATCTGACAAAGGTCTAATATCCAGAATCTATAAGGAACCTAAACAATTCACAAGCAAATGACAAATATCCTCATTAAAAAGTGGGCAAAGGACATGAACAGACACTTCTCAAAAAAAGACATATATGCAGCCAACAAGCATATAAAAAATGCTCAACATCATCAATAATCATTAGAGAAATGCAAATGAAAACCACAATGAGATATGATCTTACACCAGTTAGAATAGTGATTACTAAAAGGTCAAAAAATAACAGATGTTGAGAAGGTTGTGGAGGAAAAAGAATGCTTATAAACTGCTGGTAGGAATGTAAATCAGTTCAGCCTCTGTGGGAAGCAGTTTGAAAATTTCTCAAAGAACTTAAAACAGAGCTACCATTCAACACAGCAATCCCATTACTGAGTACAAACCCAAAAGAATATAAATCATTCTACTGTAAAGACACATGGATGCATATGTTCATCACAACACTATTCACAATAGCAGAGACATGGAATCAATCTGGATGCCCATCAATGACAGACTGGATAAAGAAAATGTGGTACATATACACCATGAAATGGTATGCAGTCATGAAAATGAACAAAATTATGTCCTTTGTAGAAACATGGATGCAGCTGGAGGCCATTATCTTAGGTAAATTAATACAGAAATGCAAGTGGGAGCTAAATATTGGGTGCACATGGACCTAAAGACGGGAACAATAGATACTGGGGACTACTAGAGGGGGAAGGGAGGGAAGAAGGGCTGAAAAACTACCTATTGGGCATTATGCTCACTGCCTGTGTGATGGGATCAACAGTACCCCAAACCTCAGCATCATGCAATATACCCATGTAAGAAACCTGCACATGTACCCTCTGAATCTAAAATATGTTAAATTTTTAAAGATTTATTTTATACGCCTCTACTATCATAGAATTTTAAAAGAAAATTTATTTCTATTTCTATTTAGAAATAAAAGATTTATTTTTAAAAAAGTAAACAATTTTAACACAATGAGAGTTCAAAAGGAGGCCAATTTATCATATGTCTAAATATATAAATATCATATGTCTAATACTTAAGAGTTACTAAACAAGCTAAAAATGTTAAAGAATATCTTTAAAATATTAAAATATATCTTACTACCTTGAAAAATATGCTTCATAATCACAAAAGCTTCAGGTCAGATTTTTAGGAAATTATCTTGAAATGATTGTTTGAAAGTTCAGTTTAATGTCTTTTTGTTTTCATTTTGGAGTGTGTGTGTGTGTGTGTGTGTGTGTGTGTGTGTAACTGTGTGTTTGCTCATTTTTGCCAAGAATTGACACTCTTCCTCAAAGTAAAAGTTTGAGGTGTGGATTTTTTGAAGATGTTTGTATAATCTTATCTATGACATCAGTAGCCACGTTGGTCTGACAGAACTAAACTTTGAATATCTTTTCATGGAGGCTCAACAACCTTAGCTATTATTCACTGTGTAAAGTCCTTCAGATTTAAAACTAGACTTTGAACTGTACACCAAATGTACATCAATGTAGTCTGGCAAATTTGAATGCTTTTCTGTCAAGATAAAAACTACAAAATGACTGGCAGAAACCAATATATAAGTGAAATATAATGGAAGAGAGGTTTTAATTCATATGAGAGAGAATTATTAGTTCCTTTGGGAAATAACAAAATGCAGACAGAATTACCTAACTCCATTGGACCAGATAATTCACATGCAAAAATAAGACATGAAGACATGAATAATTCACCCAATGATATAATTTTAGGACAACATATAACAAGGCATGACAGTGTGGTGCAAGCTGTAATCACCAATCCTGAAATGACTGTAAAAAGTAGAACTCAATGTATCAGCTTTAAGAAAGAAGACAATAAAAACAATACAAATAATTACATATCATTTATTTTATGTCAGGCATTGTTATAAGTACTTTTCATAAATGAAATCATTTAATTCTAAAAACAGCCATCTGAGAAGGGTATTATTATTATCCTCAACTTAGAGATGAGGAAAATGAACCACTCTAAGTTCAAGTCTCTTGCCCAAAGTGGTGAAGTTCGGATTTGAATTCAGGTAGTGTGGCTCTAGAGTTTATACTCTTAACTACTACTTTATATTGCCTTTGAGTTGAACAATATAAATATAAAATAGTAATAGTAGCTTATTGTATAAGGTGATTTATGATACATAAAACATCACTGTGCATTTGTTACCTTATTGCAGACTTACGACAACTCTCTGAGTTACAAATGACCATGTTATTCCTATATTACAAGTAAAAATTTTTGTTTGAAAGATTCAGATAATCAAAGTGAAGAAAAAATATCTCACATGTTAATGAAAAATAATGGATGTGTACAGGATTAGTAATGGAGTTTCTGGTCCTAATCTAAGAGCATTACTTGGATAGAGCACATATGTGAATCTTAGTCACAATTGATAATTTACAGAGCAGTTCACTATAAATTCACAATTAGAAAACACATCCCCACAGGTGCACACTCACAAATACACACATTTTCCTGATTGTGCAAGAGCACTGTCCTGTGAATAGAATCATTCTCCTTGTTAAACAAAACACTTAATTTCTCAGTTTGCAGAAGTCCCTGAAGCAGTGTGCGTAGTTTATTCTTTTGACCAAAATGGATTCAACCTAACTAAAGGAATGCTTGCCCCACCAAATAAATTCAGTTTTCAGCCTCGATTAACAGAGCTGATTGCAGCTTTTAATATGAGAATTTTCATATTGCAAAGGTTATACATGTCATTATTCAATAACAATAACTAACATTGCTTCCATGCTTCCTTGTACCAGACTTTGTGCTAATCATTTTAAATGTGTAATCTCATTCAATACTCAGGACAATGTGAGATGAGAAACATTAGTTGTCCCTGTTTACTAGATGTAGAAACCAAGTCTTAGAGAAGTTAAATAATTTCCCTGAGGTCACACACATAGTACCCACTATAGGCACTCCGAACTAAATCTGTGTGACCCAGCAGTCCATACTGTTCCACTATGTCTTTGAAAACTACTTGAGAATGTCTACTCTAAATAAGTTATAGATTGCAACAATTTGAAATAAACAGTGAGCTCTTCTTGTAGTAACTAGAAAGAGGAAAATGTGACCATAACTATGTAGTGAGTCACTTCTACTCTGATTCTACTCTTTATGCAGCTATATTTATTTAAACCATGCAAAATTATCATTTTGTAGGTACAAACAAATACCGTTAATTCTGTGTAGTTCAACATTAACAGGAGTGGAATAAGGTGACTGAGCTATAGGTCAAAGATTGCAAAGTTTAATTCAGCTAGGAATTATCAATTTGCGTTAAGATGGTAGTTCAAGAGTCTGGAGTGAAGAAAGTATTTCTGGTGTGAATTTGTGCTGCCTTTGGCCTCAATATTTCTTCTCCTTCTTTATGAAAAGCAACCCAAATTTGCTTTTGAAGCCTGTTCTTTTGTTGGATATAGTCTGGTGGGACAGTTTATCAAGATACCCTGCTCTCTTCCTAGGCTAATGGTGGTACATGACTTCCACTGGACAAATCACACATTTAAGAGCATTGGCGTTGAATCATGCCCTCACCACTCCTTGATCCCTTCATGCTCCAAAAAATCCACTTGTGTGATTCTGCTGTAGTTACTATAATTCCTGTCTTTCTGTAGCTTGGTTCTCAGCCTCTCTTTCCATTGCTTAAGCCCTCTCACAACAATTGTTTTTCTCTGATTAATTAGAATTAGTTTAATTTTAGTTAATTCTGTTTAATTCCATTCAATTATATTAAGTATAATTCTAATTAATTCTTATTAACTAGAATCAATTTCTGTCATTTACAACCAAAGAGCCTTCACTTATTTTAGCAAGATATAGATTGTGGATTAAAGGTAATAGCTGAACAGGAGGGTTGTGGTGAGAATGAAAATCAGGGTAGGAAAGAGCAGGTGGGTAAAAGTGGTAGCAGGTAAGTTTATGAGGCAAACAGGTTTGAGATCATATGGACAGGCTAGAGGAAGACTTTCTAGGTGGTTATTAGTTATTATCAATATTCTACTTTTTGTGTTGGGTGATGAAATTTTGGGTGCTTATTTTATGATGGATATATAGAGACCATATGTAGACCAATAATGTAAATGTGTCATAAAACAAGAATTGTGAATACCTAATATTGTGTATGTAATGTAAAAAATGTTTTCTGTGGATGTAAAAACTATAAAAAAATTAAAATTAGGAAATCACTGGAAATAGAAATACAGTTTGCTATCAACCAACCCCTTCAAGGACTTCTTTTAGACAAATAATTGCAACCGCTAAAGGAGAAGAAGTTAAAAGGAGTGCACCCCAAAGTCTATTTTGTAAATTCTAAATCCTAAAACAACTTATCAGTCATAACTTGAAAAACAAATATTGAATTCAGTGATTCTCACTGAGTTTCCTTTTTAGTCTTTCTATGCTACTGGTGCATGATCCTTTAATTCAGTAATAAAATGTGTTTTGGCAAATATTTCAACAGAGTCACCATCAAAAATCTTATGTTCTTCACTTTATTTAATTACTTTTAAACACAGTGTTATCCTTACAGAAGCCTAACTTGCTGTTTTATTTAAAAGGTGATATGCAAGCAATAATTCTGATGGAAAGAAATAGCAAGGAGTGGGTGATCACTGTCTGAAAAGATTGCAAGTCATGACAAATGTAAATAAAATGACAAAGGCAGACAAAGGGCAGAATTATTTAGAGTCTGCCACTATTGAGCATCAATCATAATTTTAATCAAGGTCATGACTAGACTTCTAAGAAAAGACACTTTTTAAAAAATACCACGCAGTATCAACTTAACAGAATGTCCAGATCATAAAGAGTACAAATGGTTAATAGAAGGATAGAAAAGATTCATAGGGATTCAAAATCTCAATGTTTTTGTACATATTTGAATATATTTCTATGTGATTACATGTAAACCGATTACATGTAAGCTACACATCAAAGATTTAGATACATCAAACTTTAAAGTCGAAAGAGATTTGTGTGCTCTGTTCAATTGACTCACATTTTCTTATTTTAAGACAATACTCTATGTGACAAGAATGTATCTCTGTAGACTCTAGAGTTTCACTATTTTAAAAGATAAGAATCTAAGGTTCAGAGTAATTTGTTATATCCTACAAATAATTAATGGTTGACCTCAAAATGGAACTGAAGTGTCCTAATAGGCTGATAGTCTTCTGACAAATATTTATTAAACATCAACTGTCCACCAAGGGGTACATGTACAGCCAAAAAAGACAAGATTCCCAGGAGAAGACAGTAAGCAAGCAAACAATAGTAACAAAAACCAGTAATTTAAATAATACCAAATGTTATTAAAACATTAAAACTAGAGGAAAGATATAGAATAGCTGAGTGGAAATAGGGACATTAAGCAGGGTTTTCAGGGAAGGGTCTCTGAGAATTTAGGGCTGGGATTTGAGTCATGAGGAAGGAGCCAGCTGTGGTAGAGTATGTTGTGAGTGAAAATAAGGACAAAGGCAAAGCCCCAGTTTTCCCTCCACTGTTACATAAAGTGTAAAATAATATCCCGGTAGGACCTAATTTTTACCCCCAATTTGATTCTAAAAGTCAAGTTTTTTTTTAATTATACCATATTGTTTAAACTTGGCTTAGTTTCTCATGAAATCTCCAAGAAAGGAAATACCACCTATATAAGTAACATGTGTGCAGAGAATTTTACAGTATTTTAGGATGCCTTCAAACACATTATTTTATTGAATGCTTATAGTAACACTCCACAGTGGGCAAGGTAGTTATTGAAAGAAATCCACGATAGAATGGAATGAGCACAAGGTTTTTTTTCTTTACATTAAAACCAGTTTAATAATTCTAAAAACAATGTTTTAGGGATATGAAAATAGAATGAGCACCAGTTTTTAAATTAGGGTTTAAAACCTGATCCTACCACTTATCACCTTTAATTCTTGAGCATGTAACTTAACGTCTGAAACTAGGTTTCTTTATTGGTCAAATGAAGATAAGTGAATCCTTTTTAATAGATTGTTGTAACAATAACAATGATATTCTTCAAAATGGTAGTTGACATATTGGTGTTGATAGTAGTTTCTTGGTTATTTACCTTAGGGTTTTTTGTTTGTTTGTTTTGCTTTGTTCACTTTGCTTTGGGGTTGTATGAGAAGGATAGGAGAAGTGTGACATTAATGAGGTAGTGGTGGTGGTGGTTAAATTTTGTGCTAACTTATTCCTAGATTAGAGGAGTCATTCATTTTTCTTGAGGCTAGGAAAGGCTAAAATTTTATAAGCAAGCTAGAATACATATGTCGTATTTATAAGTAAACTAGAATTCATATGTATGACAGTATTCTCCAGATTTTTATGTAAGCTTTTTCATATTCATCCATATAATCTAACCACTTTTCTCATAACATTGATATATGAGAAAAGAAAACTATTCTAAGATTTAGTCAGAACATTTTAGTCTTCAACCCAGAAATATTCCAGTTGTTCTTTAAAAACTTGCCTCAAGTGAACTAAGATTTATGCAAGAATAATCCCGTGCAAACAAAGGAAATAGAGTATTCAAAGATATAACTATAAAAAATGACATATTTTGCCACACTGATCAGGTAACCAAGGTTTATGTTATTCGTCTGACAATTACACTAGCAAATAGCTATAATCTGTCCTTGGTATCTGCATCAAAAGTCAATGTAGATCCTTTGAAGGCCAAAGCAGGTGTAGAAGAGAAGATCAAGATGAAGTCCAAACCTTGTGGAGTGCAATGCAAGGATGCTCCATAATTCTTACAATTCATTTTGAATGTACTATTATTATATCTATGCTAAGAAGAAGAAACTAAGAAAAGATAAGTTTTATTTACCCAACACCATGCAGAAAGACACATTCTGACAGAATAAGGATTTGATTCCCTGTCTTTCCAGGGAGGATATTTTTACCAGTTAGAGTATCTTCAATTTGTAGCATCTTGAAGGTTTTATAACAATATTGCATACATTAGTTCATATTCAATCTAGACTGAGTTCATTTAATCAGTAATGGTGGAAACAGGTGGACAAATGCTCAGTAGAATTAATTCAGCCAAACCCATATTACCATTTACAGGGTATACTACAATTACTCTTCAAGTCTCATAATTTTAGAGCACAAACTCATTTTTTGGGGAAAAGCAGGAGATTAGGAAAGATTTATAAGCACCAATTAGTTTTTCAAATGTATGGCTGTGAAAGGCAAATTGCTTTCCTTCTTCCTTATTATGTTAACTAATACTTATCATTCCATACACATGTCAAATACTAATTGATGAAACTTTGAAAGAGGAAGAAGAAAAAACCAGCATCTCACTCTGAAATATTTTTGAGAACTGAAAATTAAGATGAACATAAAATAATCGGGGGTGGAAGGAAGCTCACACTCTCTTCATTTCAAACCAAGAGCTCATAATTGAAACCTCCCACCTGCTTGACAATTTGACAAGTAAGACCAACATACTAATATGTTCTTTTGGTTAATCCTAACAAATTTTATGATAAGTTGAGAATTTGTTTACTTGTTTTCATTCAGTAATCCTGTGTTTGTATCATTTTCTAGATAATAAACCCACCACTCAAAACAAGTCTGACATGTATTTTTAATAAAGCTAATTAGGCAGTAGGCAGTTTGGAAAACTTCTTTGCATAGCACATTAGCAGTTAGGTAATTTCTCTCAGGAAGAATGGGAGGAGCTCTGGGCCTTTTTAAATTACAGAGAGATCTTTATTCTCACCAGGTATTTTTTTTTTTAACAAAGTTAACTTCTTTAAATGCCACATAGTAAAAGCTAGGGTCCTATTGAAAATCAGTGCTGATTCCATGGTAATGGGCCCAGGATCATAGGTCCATGGCCAGGAATACACTATACTTCTGTGCAACTGCTTGAAAAATACATGTCATCACATGCAATGGAGAATTGCCCAAGGTGTGAGGAGTTCACGGTAAACCCTTACATCACGGGACACACAGTTCAAGTCTATTCACAATTCCCACCTGCTTGATTGTTCAGTGGAGGCAGCACATCGATTTAATTTAAAGAGACAGATTTCTACAACTATTGAATCCTTACGGCATTTGTAAAGTTTTCCAGGCTTTGCAGACATCATTTAATGTCACAGGGCTTTGCTATTAGTTCATGGTTTCCATTTCCTTTTTTTAAGGTCACTGAAATATTGTAGTGAAATAATGGGTACTCCAGTTCCCTCAAATAATTAATACATCCTTAATGTGCCTTTCCAACAGAACATGCTTTAGCCATTAGGGAGACTAAAGGCTGTTATTAGTGTCTTTCATCAGGAAACAAAGACTCCTAGAATGTCAGAGATATATAAAGCTGAAGAATGTATCCTTGCAACACTTCATTTTATATCTGTATATGATTTATTTTAATATTATTTTAAATACCCTTTAATGCAGAGCCATTAGCTGAGATGGGCAGTCCAAAATTAGTTCAAGGCTGAAGAATGCACCAGTTAAAAGTAAATGTAATTTTATTGCTTTCAGTAAAATATAATTATACCAACTAGTAACTCAAAATCTTAGGTAGGGGTTTTCATCTAGAAATAAACATTTTACTTATTGTCTACATATGCATTCAATAAAAATTGCTTAAAACAGTTCTCTTAAAGAGATTAGTCTTTTTTCCAATTCCAACTTTTTGAAATGTTATGTAGTTACAAATGAATCACAATTTTTAATAGAATATATAAATATCAAATAAATTCCGTAAGAATTATTACAAATTCTGACTTAGTAAAAACTAATATTTTACTATAACAAAAACAATAGTCAGTTTTTCCTTTGTCAGATACTTATTGAGCATTTAATATGTACAAGATCTTTTGTAAGTGTATTCAATATGTTAGTGAATAAAATAATCTCTGACCTTAGGGAGGGAGAGGTAGACAATAAGAATGTTAAATGGTGGTAAGTGCAATGCAAATAGGAAAAATAAAGCTTGATATGGAAATTGGGTGTGTTTGGGTATACAAGTTGGAACTTTAGATTACAGCCTGATAGCCTTTTTTATCAGGATAGTCTGATAGAAAAGGTAATGTAATCAAGACTTAAAGGAAGTAAGGAGAAAATAATATTGGGTCAAGAACTTTCCAGCAAAAAGAATGGTCAAGAAAATAATATTGGGTAAAGAACTTTCCAGCAAAAAGTTTGAGGTCCAAAGGTAGGTTCAAAGAACAGCAAAGTGATTAATGTGATGATATGATTTTGGGTCTGCATCCCCACCAAATCACATATTGAATTGTAATCCCCAGTGTTGGAGGTGGGGCCTGATGGGAGGTGATTGGGTTGGCAAGGTGGAGATCTCATGAATGGGCTAGCACCATCCCATTGGTGCTGTTCTCATGATAGTGAGTGAGTAAGTTCCCATGAAATCTGATTGTTTAAAAGTGTGAAGTACCTTCCCTATCTCTCTCTTCCTTCTGCTCTAGCCATGTAAGATGTGTCTTCTTCCCCTTTGCCACCTGCCATAATTGTACATTTCCTGAGGCCTCCCAGAAGCCAAGCAGATGTCAAAATCATGTTTCCTGTACAGCCTGTGGAACTGTGAGCCAATTAAACCTCTTTTCTTCATAAATTACCCAGTCTTAGGTATTTCTTTGTAGCAATGCAATCCAAGCATGGACTAATAACAGAAAATTGGTACTGGGATAATGCTATAAAGATATCTGAAAATGTGGAAGTGACTTCTGAATGTAACAGGCAGAGGTTGAAAGGGTGTGGAGGGCTCAAAAGAAGACAGGAAGATGAGGGAAAGTTTGGAACTTCCTAGAGACTTGGTAAACTGTTGTGACCCAAATGCTGATACAGTGATATAGACAGAGATGGCCAGGCTGATGAGGTTTCAGGTGAAGATGAGTAACTTATTGGGAACTGGAAAAAAGGTCACTTTTATTATGCATTAGCAAAGCACAAAACTGCATTTTGTCCCTGCCCTAGAGATCTGAGGAACTTTGAACTTGAGAGTGATGATCTATGGTACCTGGTGAAAAAAAATTTCTAAGCAGCAAAGTGTTCAAGATATGGCCTGGCTGCTTCCAAAAATCTATGCTCATAAGCATGAGCAAAAAAATCATGTAAAACTTGAACTTCTATTTAAAGGGGAAGCAGAGTGTAAAGGTTTGAAAAATTTGCAGCCTCGCCTTGTGTTAAAAAAGAAAAGCCTATTTTTGGGGGAGGAATTCAAGTTGGCTTCAGAAATTTGGATAACTAAAAGAAGGTAAGTACTGATAACCAAGATAATGGGGAAGAGACCTGGAAGACTTTTCAGAGACCCTTCATGACAGCCCCTCCCATCACAGGCCTGAGGCCTAGGAGGACTGAAAGGTTTTGTGGGCCAGAGCAAGTGCCCCGCTGCCCTGTACATCCATAGGACACTGCTCCCCACATTCCAGTCACTCCAGCTTCAACCACGGCTAAAAGGGGCCCAGCTACACCTCAGGCCACTGCTTCAGAGGGTGCAAGCCATAAGCCCTGCTGGTTTTCACATGGTATTAGGTCTGTGGGTGCACAGAGTGCAAGAGTTGAGGCTTGGGAGCCTCCACCTAGATTTCAGAGGGTATATTGGAAAAGCCTGGATGTTTAAGCAAAAGCCTGCTGCAGGGGTGGAGCCCTCATGGAAAACCTCTACTAGGGCAGTGCAGAGGGGAAATGTGGGGTTGGAGCCCTCATATAGAGTCCCAACTGGGGCACTGCCTAGTGGAGCTGTGAGAAGAAGGCCACCATCCTCCGGACTCCAGAATGGTGGATCTACCAACAGCTTGCACCTTTTGCCTGGAAGAGCTTTAGGCACTAAATGCCAGCCCGCAAAAGCAGCTGTGGGGACTGAACTCTGCAAAGTCACAGGGGCAGAGTTGCCAAAGGCTTTGGGAGCCCACTCCTTGCACCAGCATGCCCTAGATCTGTGACATGGAGTTAAAAGAGATTATTTTGGAGCTTTAAGGTTTAATGACTCCCCTGCTGGGTTTTGGACTTGCATGGGGCCTGTAGCCACTTTCTTTTGGCTGATTTCTTCCCTTTGGAATGGGAGTATTTACCCAATGCCTGTAACCCCATTGTACCTTGAAAGTAATTAATTTGGTTTTGACTTTATAGGCTCATAAGCAGAAGGGACTAGGCTTGGCTCAGTTGAGGCTTTGGACTTTTGAGTTAAGCTAGAATGAGTTAAGACTCTGAGGGACTGTTGAGAAAAGATGATTATGTTTTGCAATGTGAGAAAGATATGAGATTTGTAGGGGCCAGAGGTGGAATAATATGGACTGTGTCTGTATCCTTACCAAATCTCATGTTGAATTTTAATCCCCAGTGTTGGAGGTGGGACCTGGTGCGGGGGTGATTGGATAATGGGGGTGGAATTCTCATAAAGGAGTTAGCACAATCCCTTCAGTGCTCTTCTCATGATAGTGAGTGAGTTCTCATGAGATCCGATTGTTTAAAAGTGTGTAGCTCCTCCCCCAACCCCTTCTGCTCCAGCCATCTGAGATGTACCTACTTCCCCTTCACCTTCTTCCATGATTGTACATTTCCTGAGGCCTCCCCAGAAGCTGAGCATGTGCCAGAATCATGCTTCCTGTACAGTCTTCAGAACCATAAGCCGATTAAACCTCTTTTCTTTAAAAATTATCCAGACTCAGGCATTTCTTTACATCAGTGTGAGAACAAACTAATACATGTGACTACAGCAGATTGATCAAAATGAGAATAGGAAGAGGTGAGGATAAAGAGGTAATTTGGGGCAAGGGGCTGGGGGTCAGGGAGTGTCAGTCAGGAACAACTTATAATGACTCAGGTTTTCATTCTTAGCAAAGGAGCCATTGAAGTGTTTACAGCAGAGGAGGGACATGCTCTGGCACACTTTTGAAAATATGTTTCTGGCTGCTGTGTTGTGAATAGACTACAGAGATGCAGGGGTAGAAGTGGAGTGACCAGTTGAGGGCTATTATACTAATCTAGGTTAGAGACAATGGTGGCTTGGACCAGAGAAGATATAAAAGGTACAGGCTTCCATAGCAGCCTCTTTAATCTCTTTTGAGCCTTAGGCACTTAGTTCTCCCTATACAACAGGAATTATATTGTTGTATAATATTATCATGTATCTTTTTACAATTTTTCTCCTGCAATAGACTGACTATATTTATAATATTTATAGTATTTCTCCCACAATAGACTGTGTCTGAAAGACAGAGACTGTATCTTATTCACTTTGCATTCTCAGAGCATACACTCTGCCAAGCATATGAAGGTGCTCTACAAACATTTGTGGAATAAACAAGTTAAAATTAACCTCAATAAAGAATATATTTTTCATTTCAAAATAATTTGTAATATGTAATTGAGAGATAAAAAAGAAGAGAGGGTTGAAAGATTAATAAGCCAGCCAGAATTGCTGAGTTGTGAGGTAGCAAAGATGATGTATTTTTTGTAATTTTACCTTCTTTAAATTTGGATATTGAGGAAAAAATTCTAAACCCTTTGAATGTTTTCAGAAGTAATTACTTGGGAGAAAAATAGTTCTTTAAAAAACTACAGGTCAGTTAGAACAGGATTATTCCATTAGTGCTTATGGGTGTCTCCAAGTCTAGGAGGAGTTATTTTAGCAAATATTTCTAATCATAGTTTAAAACATGTTTTATGGGTCAAAAAGAGAATTAAAAATGATAAAACCCGGTGACTCACACCTGTAATCCCAGCACTTTGGGAGGCTGAGGCAGGCGGATCACGAGTTCTGGAGTTCAAGACCAGCCTGACCAACATGGTGAAAACCTGTCTCTACTAAAAATACAAAACTTAGCCAGGCATGGTGGTGCATGCCTATAATCCCAGCTACTCAAGAGGCTGAGGCAGGAAAATCACTTAAACCCAGTAGGTGGAGGTTGCAGTGAGCCAACATCATGACACTGCACTCCAGCCTGGGCAACAGAGCAAGACATCGTCTCAAAAAAAAAAAAAAAAAAAAAAAAAAAAAGACAAAATCTTCCATCACCTTCCATCAAAAATGACTAAAAGAATAAATTGTAAAATAATTTTTTAAAATCCTTCTTATATCTTTCATAGAATAGAGAAAAGAAGACTGATTTTCCTTTTAAAGTAATTTATTTTTTCTAATCATAGAACAGATCACACTTACTCTACAAAATTGAAAAAAGTATATGAGAAAAAAATTACATACATTTTTGCCAACAAAACTTATTCTCTATGAACATTTTGGTATACTTTAGATCTTTTTTCAGTGTACAAAATATTTCTTATTTTACAAAATTAAATCACACTATCTAATTTTATAGCATGTACTTTATACTATTTTACTGACACATTTTCCAATGCCTTTCACAATTTTTTGAAAACATGTTTTAAAGCATTTGTGTTACCATTTTTCTATTTTTTTCAGTCAATCAAATATATGCTGAGTACATAATATGTGCTGGACAGTATGTTAAGCACTAGAGACAGACCCATGGAGTTCTTGTGCTTGCAGAGAGCTCAACAAGTAGTACCAATGAAGTGTGTTAAGTACTATAGGATGCTATGGAAACAGCAGAACCACCTAATCTAGTCTAGGGAAGTCAGGCTACATTTAAGCTGAGATTAAGCTGCCAGTTAAGTAGTAGAGTAAACAACGCTGAGGGATTTGGGGATTGAATTCCAGGCAAAGTCTCTAATCAAGAGAAACCGTGCACAAGTCTCTAGTCAAGAGAAACCATGTCTCGCTTTAAAGATATTGAAAGAAGTTTGTTGTAGTAAGAAAGAAGAGAGGTTAAAAAAGAAAAGCAAATGTTTAAAGGCTGAAAAAAGAAAAATAAAATGAATGTCTTTGTTAGAAATTTAAGCTTCATCTCTGGTGAAACAGAAAACCATTGTAAGTTTTTAAAACAAAGAGAGACATTATAAGATATACGTATTTTAAAACAACAGTATGCACTGATTGGGAGGCAGCATTGTCTAGAGGCAGGGACTCTAGCAAGTCAATAATGAGAGCCTGGACCAAAGACAGACTATAACGATGGAGAAAACAGGACTGGTGGAAAGGATGAGATCTACAAGAACTGATATTTGATTTGATGCAAACAGCAAAAGGAAAGAATAGTGGAGAGACTTCAGGTTTAAGAAGCTGGGCAAATACATCACTGACCATTACAGAAATGCAAATTAAAACCACAATGAGATACCCTCTCATGCCAGTCAGAATGATTATTAAAAAGTCAAAAAACAACAGATGCTGGCAAGGCTGTGGGGAAATAGGAATGCTTTCACACTGTTGGTGGGAATGTAAATTAGTTCAAACATTGTGAAAGACAGTGTGGCGATTCCTCAAAGACCTAGAACCGAAAATGCCATTTGACCCAGCAATCCCATTACTGTCTATGTACCCAAAGGAATATAAATCATTCTGTTATAAAGATACATGCATGCATATGTTCATTGCAGCACTATTCACAATAGCAAAGACATGGAATCAACCCAAATGCCCATCAATGATAGATTGGATAAAGAAAATATGGTACATATACACCATGGAATACTATGCAGCCATAAAGAGGATTGAGATCATGTCCTTTTCAGGGACATGTATGGAGCTGGGAGCTATTATCCTCAGCAAACTAACACAGGAACAGAAAACCAAAGACTGCACATTCTCATTTATAAGTGGGAGCTGAACAATGAGAACACATAAATACAGGGAGGGGAACAACACATACTGGGACCTGTTGTGGGGGTTTGGGTAGGGAGAGCATCATGATAAATAGCTAATACATGTGGGGCTTAATAACTAGGTGATGGGTTGATAGGTGCAGCAAACCACCATGGCACATGTTTACCTATGTAACAAAGCTGCACATCCTACACATGTATCCTGGAAGTTAAAAAAAAACCCTTCAAAAAATTAATGAATCCAGGAGCTGGTTTTTTGAAAGGATCAACAAAATTGATAGACTCCTAGATAGACTAATAAAGAAGAAAAGAGAAAAGAATCAAATAGACACAATAACAAATGATAAAGGGGATATCACCACTGAGCCCACAGAAATACAAACTACCATCAGAGAATACTACAAACACCTCTATGCAAATAAACTAGAAAATCTAGAAGAAATGGATAAATTCCTGGACACATACACCCTCCCAAGACTAAACCAGGAAGAAGTTGAATCTCTGAATAGACCAATAACAGGCTCTGAAATTGTGGCAATAATCAATAGCTTACCAACCAAAAAGAGTCCAGGACCAGATGGATTCAAAGCCGAATTCTACCAGAAGTACAAGGAGGAACTGGTACCATTCCTTCTGAAACTATTCCAATCAATAGAAAAAGAGGGAATCCTCCCTAACTCACTTTATGAGGCCAGCATCATCCTGATACCAAAGCTGGTCAGAGACACAACCAAAAAAGAGAATTTTAGACAAATATCCTTGATGAACATTGATGCAAAAATCCTCAATAAAATACTGGCAAACCGAATCCAGCAGCACATCAAAAAGCTTATCCATCATGATCAAGTGGGCTTCATCCCTGGGATGCAAGGCTGGTTCAATATACACAAATCAATAAATGTAACCCAGCATATAAACAGAAACAAAGACAAAAACCACATGATTATCTCAATAGATGCAGAAAAGGCCTTTGAAAAAATTCAACAACACTTCATGCTAAAAACTCTCAATAAATTAGGTATTGATGGGACGTATCTCAAAATAATAAGAGCTATCTATGACAAACCGACAGCCAATAGCATACTGAATGGGCAAAAACTGGAAGCATTCCCTTTGAAAACTGACACAAGACAGGGATGCCCTCTCTCACCACTCCTATTCAACATAGTGTTGGAAGTTCTGGCCAGGGCAATTAGGCAGAAGAAGGAAATAAAGGGTATTCAATTAGGAAAAGAGGAAGTCAAATTGTCCCTGTTTGCAGATGACATGATTATGTATCTAGAAAACCCCATCGTCTCAGCCCAAAATCTCCTTAAGCTGATAAGCAACTTCAGCAAAGTCTCAGGATGCAAAATCAATGTGCAAAAATCACAAGCATTCTTATACACCAATAACAGACAAACAGAGAGCCAAATCATGAGTGAACTCCCATTCACAATTGCTTCAAAGAGAATAAAATACCTAGGAATCCAACTTACAAGGGACATGAAGGACCTCTTCAAGGAGAACTACAAACCACTGCTCAAGGAAATAAAAGAGGATACAAACAAATGGAAGAACATTCCATGCTCATGGATAGGAAAAATCAATATCGTGAAAATGGCCATACTGCCCAAGGTAATTTATAGATTCAATGCCATCCCCATCAAGCTACCAATGACTTTCTTCACAGAATGGGAAAAAACTACTTTAAAGTTCATATGGAACCAAAAAAGAGCCTGCATCGCCAAGTCAATCCTAAGCCAAAAGAACAAAGCTGGAGACATCACGCTACCCGACTTCAAACTATACTACAAGGCTGCAGTAACCAAAACAGCATGGTACTGGTACCAAAACAGAGATATAGATCAATGGAACAGAACCCTCAGAAATAATGCTGCATATCTACAACTATCTGATCTTTGACAAACCTGAGAAAACAAGCAATGGGGAAAGGATTCCCTATTTAATAAATGGTGCTGGGAAACTGGCTAGCCATATGTACAAAGCTGAAACTGGATCCCTTCCTTACACCTTATACAAAAATTAATTCAAGATGGATTAAAGACTTAAACGTTAGACCTAAAACCATAAAAACCCTAGAAGAAAACCTAGGCAATACCATTCAGGACATAGGCATGGGCAAGGACTTCATGTCTAAAACACCAAAAGCAATGGCAACAAAAGCCAAAATTGACAAATGGGATCTAATTAAACTAAAGAGCTTCTGCACAGCAAAAGAAACTACCATCAGAGTGAACAGGCAACCTACAAAATGGGAGAAAATTTTCGCAACCTACTCATCTGACAAAGGGCTAATATCCAGAATCTACAATGAACACCAACAAATTTACAAGAAAAAAACAACCCCATCAAAAAGTGGGCAAAGGACATGAACAGACACTTCTCAAAAGAAGACATTTATGCAGCCAAAAAACACATGAAAAAATGCTCATCATCACTGGCCATCAGAGAAATGCAAATCAAAACCACAATGAGATAACATCTCACACCAGTTAGAATGGCAAACATTAAAAAGTCAGGAAACAACAGGTGCTGGAGAGGATGTGGAGAAATAGGAACACTTTGACACTGTTGGTGGGACTGTAAACTAGTTCAACCATTGTGGAGATTCCTCAGGGATCTAGAACTAGAAATACCATTTGACCCAGCCATCCCATTACTGGGTATATACCCAAAGGACTATAAATCATGCTGCTATAAAGACACATGCACATGTATGTTTACTGCGGCACTATTCACAATAGCAAAGACTTGGAACCAACCCAAATGTCCAACAATGATAGACTGGATTAAGAAAATGTGGCACATATACACCATGCAATACTGTGCAGCCATAAAAAATGATGAGTTCATGTCCTTTGTAGGGACATGGATGAAATTGGAAATCATCATTCTCAGTAAACTATCGCAAGAACAAAAAACCAAACACCGCATATTCTCACTTATAGGTGGGAATTGAACAATCAGAACACCTGGACACAGGAAGGAGAACATCACACTCTGGGGACTGTTGTGGGGTGGGGGGAGTGGGGAGGGATAGCTTTAGGAGATATACCTAATGCTAAATGATGAGTTAATGGGTGCAGCACACCAGCATGGCACATGTATACATATGTAACTAACCTGCACATTGTGCACATGTACCCTAAAACTTAAAGTATAATAATAAAAAAAACTAGGCAGATAAAATAGCTACTCAGTGGGAGAGAGGTACAGATAAAAAACACATTTTATGTATAGAAGACAGTAGACTGCTTTGGGGATGTGTGGCGCTTGAGGTGCTGTGATATTTCCAAATAACAACATCAATGAGGCAGCTTAGCTCAGTAGAGGTCACAGAACTGGAGACATGGATTTTGGAGTCTTCAGCATATGTGTGGTGATTATTCCATTCCCCAAACTAAAATTACTTAATTATTTTGTAAGTGTAAAAGTGTACTATGTATGTAGATATAGTTCATGCATCATAATATCATGTTTTAAATAGTAAATGCAAAAGTATAGTTAATTTGGGCAATAACTATTTGAATTTCATAATAATTACTTGTTATAACTATGAGCTGGTGAACATTAAAGAGCCTAATTTTTGCAAGATTACCAAAATTAGGTTAAAAAATGTTATTTTCTTTTCTGAAGTATATTCTTTCTCAATTTTAGCTGCAGATAAAAGTAACAAATAAAATTTAAAACATATTAGAAGATGCTAAGTGCTACAGAAAAAAGGCAGAAAAGGAAATACAGAATATGGGGTAAGAGAGAAGAAGTTTGCAATTCTGGACATGGTACTCAGAGAAAGCCTTGCTGAGAAAAAAAATCAAAGAATTCGAAGTGGGGAGGGAGTAAGCCATGTAGAGCAAGGAAGAAAGAGCAAGGAAACCAGAGGGGCTGAACGGGAGTAAGCAAAGGGAAGCAACGTGTAGGAAATAAGGTCTGATAGGTAAAGCGGTGTAGCCAGGGTATGGGAGACAGCCTCAGAGTCAATCCTAAGGACTTTGAGCTTTGTCCTAAGAAAGATGGGAAAACCACTGCATGGCTTTGAGCAGAGCACTAACATACCTGACTTAAAATCTCCTCTGTGGAGAATAGGCATAAGAGACAAGAGTGAAAACAACACCAATTAGAAGGTATTGCAATAACCCAAGCCAGACTTGATACCATCTGGTTCATGATGCAGGTGATGAGGTTCTTGTTTATTCTATTAAAAAATATATAATATCAATACAGTCAATTCTTATTTCTGGTTACTTGTGTTCCATGAAGTCCCCTCAAACACTGAATTAGCCAATACTGAAGCATTTCTCCTAGAGGAAACACAGAGTTAGGTTCCTGTGAGTCTCTCGTTACAATACTTTCATCAACAGGTGAAAATATAACTTTGTTTTATGTGTGTTTCTGTTTAAAGACACCTTGTTTAATATATAGTTGATTCACTAATTTTTTTAAAAAAGTTATTTAAAAAATTTTAATAATAGATTAAATAATAGATTTATCTACATTTAGATAACTCATATCTAAATGCAGATTATCCAACACATGCATTTTCTCCGTAAGGTACATCACAGCCTTCTTGTGCTTTGGAACTAGACAGCACTTCAGCACCGCACATGTGGGCCATTTTACAAAGCGAAATCGACAGATCCAAAATCATGCAAAAAATCTGGCACTAAATAGACTGCAAAAAGGACATTTGTTCATGGTATTTGAGCTGAAACAAGAATGCAGAATATTGCTTTGTTCCACCAAAGCTGTAAACGTTCATGTTAGGCAACTCAAATTTTTTGTGCTCTGCACATGTTCAAAAATAACACAAAAATGCTGTGATTATTGATTCTAGGGTACAAATAAATTTTAGTGAGTAGGTGAATTAGCCAACATGAAATCTACAAATAATGAAGGTCAACTTTATTTCAAATGTTCTTCGTCCATAGCATATTTTCTAAATATCTTAGAGAGTAGGGGCATGATGTCACAATATAAATCTATTATTTAAAATGAGTTTTCATATATACGTTCATATATAATATTTAACACATACAATATTTATAAATTTATTATAAACAATATGATGTCTCTCAGGAATAACAGTCAAATTACTACATAAGAAGAAAACACAACTTCACCACTCTACCAATTCCCCATGATGAGGCTTTTTCTTTTTCCCCCAAGATGTTTATATTTCAATGGAAGTATTAGAAATGTAATGAAAACTAATCAATTGCACATATAACTTAAAGTTGTCAGTTTTCTACTTCTAGCAAATATTTTGTTTTATTCAGTGTTTCCACTGGGAATAACATTCTTTAGGAAGTTGCAATATTGTTAGATGAAAGAGGGGTAGGACTGTGAATGTGTTCATAATGCATTTGTAGTCAATAGCTGCATAGCCATTAAACTGGGGTTTCAAATGCCTTCAATAAAAAATATTTAAAATCTAATTCTCAAAACTTGTTTAAGGTAAGCTAACAATCTCAGTTTTGAAGACAACAAGCATCTTTACTTTCTTAGAAAGGGGAAAGGTATAATTCTTTTGTTCCATTATTATTCATTAAAGTAAATCCTACCCATCTGTCTTCCACAGTGCCTCTTCCACAAATTGTTCTTACTACTCGGCACATGGATGCCTCCCACTGTCCTGCTCTGTTCTTTCTTCTCTATATACCACACTGTTTGAGACTTGCTCAGTAATTATTTCATTTAGATTAATCTTACATCCTTAAAGAGCTCCACAACCCTGAATCAGAAACATCATATCTTATGCCTCTCTTATCCTCTACATCAGAGTTTCTTAACTTATTACTATTTACATTTTGTCTGAATAACTTTTTGTTGGGAGCACTGTAGGATGTTTAGCAGCATCTCTGGACTCTACCCTATTAGTTGCCAGCAGTAAACTTCCCTGCCCACTCCCTTGAACTGTGACAACCAAAAATATCTTTGGATATTGCCAAATATTTCTTGGGGGGCAAATCACTCCTGGTTGAGAACTCTATATCATATCCTGTATCTGGAAGACAAAAACATTTTTTTAATTCAGTCAAATTTTTACAGTCAATAATCAGTATACATATTACTTGGACTCATATATCCAGATCCTAATATTGTATATGTGACGTCAGCTTGTCCTTCACTGTCCATGTTCATAAAGAAACAAAATATTCTAGCTATTAAAAGAGAGCAATCAATATAAAATGATTGAAACTAAAAATTCCCTACATAATAATTTTTAATGTTTTCATAACAAGAATTTTCAAACTATGCTCTCTTCATTATCATAAAGTAAAACAAATGTTAGCGTTAGCCTATTTGTAATATGGTTCTTCTTTACATATGTTAGCATTTTATTAACATCTTTGTTTTGTGATCCCTGACATTCAAAGCATGATCCCAGGACGAGCAGCATTGGCATATGCTGGGAGCCTGCCAGAAATGCAGAATCTCAGCTTCTTCTCCAGGTCACTGACTCAGAATCTTCATTTTAAAAAGATCTCTGGTGATTTGTTTACACAGTAAAAATTGAGAAAGACTTTGTTAGATGAATCTTCTCTCCTACTAGCCACTCTAAATTTATTAAAATAGAGTTTTCTGCTGTCCAGTTAGGAATTTTTCACATTTTTATGCTAATAATCATTTAATTTTAAACTTTTATTTGTTTGAAAATAACAGAAAAAGTGATATGTCAATAGAAGAAAAATGCTTTGTTGCAGGTGCTTTGAGCATCAGCTGAGTCATCTAATACATTTACTGGCATATTAACGACAACATTTATGACTTCAGCTGGTATATACTTAATATTTCAATTAAAGTGGCTACATGTACAGAAACCTGTTTCAGAGAATTCTTGACCCTAATCTTCAACATTTATTACACTTTCAATCTAATCGTGCCTTACTTCCCGATATCATGCATTTTCCATAATTTTGTACAATTGTAATATTTAAAAATATATATATTTTAGACCCTAGAAATGTAGTTATGCCAGTGATTTCTAATGCTAAACCGTTATTACATTATGCTTAGTTTTCGATTCAACAGAAAAACTTAAAATACAAAAATAAATACCAGGCCGGGCGCGGTGGCTCACGCCTGTAATCCCAGCACTTTGGGAGGCCGAGGCGGGCAGATCACGAGGTCAGGAGATCGAGACCATCTTGGCTAACACAGTGAAACCCCGTCTCTACTAAAAATACAAAAAATTAGCCAGGCGTGGTGGCGGGCACCTGTAGTCCCAGCTACTCGGGAGGCTGAGGCAGGAGAATGGCGTGAACCCGGGAGGCGGAGCTTGCAGTGAGCTGAGATAGTGCCACTGCAATCCGCAGTCCAGCCTGGGCCAAAGAGCGAGACTCCGTCTCAAAAAAAAAAAAAAAAATACTATTTGCACAATCTCCTTCCTTGTCCTCTGACACTTTAAGTCTCATTTTAGCAATGATGAGGGCAGTCAAAGTGATGTTGAAAGTTAAAGGAAAAGGAGAAATAATAAGAGTATATTTTTTCCTTTTTTGTATCATATTCAGAAATCATATTTAAAAATATACAATGGCTTCCCAAGGGACAGAAAAATAAATGACAGAGTTAAAAATATATATATATACAGTTTTAATCATGTCTTTCTTGCCACAGAAATTCCTCAATAAAATAAATATGGCTTTGCCCAGAGATTCACATTAATTGAGAAAGAAATGAGAAGACATGATATGCAAATTTGAAAGGTGACGCTTTTAGGATTCTTTCCAAACTCTTTTTTTGAATTAAATGTCCAGATGAGGAAGGACAAGACAGCTTAAACCCTATAGATTTGAGAAACCTAACAATATGGCTTCTCTGTCTGTCCTAAACCCCAATAAAAAAATCAAAACACATAAGAAGTGGTTTGACTGGAATGAGTGGCAACTCCCCAGAGACAGAGGTGCAATTGCTGTATGTCTCAACTGTCCCTTAATCAGCCAAAAGCCAAAAAACTAACTGTTCCTTCAGTTAGCTAGGTCTCCCTGTACAAGGACAAGATGCATTCCACAAAGTGCTAGGAAAGCTAAATTCCTAATTTTGAAGAAGAGGAAAGAAAGGATAAACTGAAAAAGCATAAAAAGAACATAGTCTTTGTTTTCTTTCGGAAGAATATGTGTATGCGAAGCAGAAATACACAGAGGAAAATCATGTGAATAAATACAAATGAGTTTAGCATTTGAGGTGATGTAAACTTTATATTTCTTTTGAGTGATGGCTGCAGAAAACATTGCCTCCCACGCTCCACAGCCAGAGTTTTTCCCCTGCAGATTTGTAGAGGCTCAATAACCCATCATTACTTCATCTCACAATTTGACCTGACCTTTACAGCTTTGCTTCTTTTATCATCTCTTACTCTCCAGTGTCTGGCTGCTTTTATTTTACAGTTCTGCATTTCACCAAACTGAATTCTTCTTGCACATTTTTAACCCTTTCTCCAGTTTTTTTTATAGCTGTGAGCCCATGAATATTTATAAAGAACATTTAATACATTGAGTCTTGGCTGACTTAATAACTACAGCATATATTAAAAGAATGTGTGTGCTTCTTAGAGACTTTGTATTATGTCTCTGAAGTCTTTTGCTAATATGTCTTTTCACAGGAATGGAGAGATTTTTAAAAATATTTCAGAAAGAAAAGACATTGGACCAAGAGAGAGAATAGAAGAGAGTATTCCCCTGCAATCCCTTAACAAG
Source organism: Homo sapiens (assembly GCF_000001405.40). Classification (NCBI taxonomy): domain Eukaryota; kingdom Metazoa; phylum Chordata; class Mammalia; order Primates; family Hominidae; genus Homo; species Homo sapiens. Next base: position 154,588,580 of record NC_000003.12, on the reverse strand, counting down.
TCATGCCGTATATGTGCCATGCAGAATACCCTTAGCTATAGAAAATGTCTTTGCTAAAATTATTCTTCTTTTGATTCTTATTTCTACATTTAGTGATAGTAATTTTAGTGATAGAAAACAAACTAAAGAGGCTTTTGTTTTTTGCCCTCACATTTGGAACCTCCAATAATTTCATTAACACATCTTAAGAAATATCTGTCCCTTCCCAAAGCAAATATTAACTTGATAGAAGCTAGCATTTATATTTTAGTTTTCTCTACTTACTTGATATATTAATTTAGATTTCTATATAGACACAGTGAGTTCTGTCAAGTCTTGGGAAATATCCAATGGCTCCAAATTATTGGGACCCTAAGTAGCATAGGCTATAAAATGCTTACGCTCTTCATACATTTTAAGGTTGTGAAGGAATTTTGAAACTGATTGGAGTTAGGAAGGGGGTATCTATTCCAGCTTTTATCCTTAGAATTACAGTGGGACTCTTAAGTCTCAGTTTTCTCATCTATAAATTGTGAGAACTGAACTGAGCGATCTTGATGGTTCATTCTAGTTTTATGATTTTTTATTCTAATGTAAATGCTTTTAAGATTGCTACTTACATTGAATAAACAAAAAATATTTTAATAAAAAAGTTAAAATGTACAGAAGTTATTTGTTCAACATATATTATTTGTGAGATCTTCATAAATAACCAATTATACCTCCTGTATTAAAACATTTATACTACATTTAAGGTTGCTAGATTTAGCAAATAAAAATACAGGATACCCAGATGAATTTTAATTTTAGAAAAACAGCAAATAACTTTTGAGTTAAAAGTGTCCCATGAAATACTTGGGACATGCTTATACTAAAAATATACCTATTATTTATCTGAAATTCAACTTTAATTGATACTCCTATATTTTGTTGGGCTTATTATAATTAAATTTTCATTTTCAACTAGCTTATTATAATTTTCCCATAGACAAAAATCATACTGTTTAAAAATAGTCTTTTGCCATTTTTTTCCAGTGAATTGGCAATAGTTATTTTGTAGATATTATTTAAGAACAACTAAATTCATTTTTGCTTTGTGCTCCTGAAAGATGTGGTTAAGAATGAGCACGATGTCATATTAAACATCTGTAATTTAAAATGTTGCTCCAATATGCAATATTCAGTATTGAATATGTAATACTCAAGGTAGTAAAGGAATAATATGTTTTGCATAATTTGGATTCATTTAGTGTCCATCTATGTTTCACATAGATTTTCCATTTTTCAGAAAAGTATAAAATATATACTTTTTAAAAAGTGCCTTATGACACTACAAACATGATAAATAAAAGGAAAATTTGATAATTTGAATCTCATCAAAATGAAAACTTTTGCTCTGTGAAAGATCATGTGAAGCAAATGAAAAGATATGCTCCAGGCTGGAGAAAATATTTTCAAACCATATATTCATCAAAGGCCTTGCATCTAGAATATATAAAGAACTCTCGGCCAGGTGTGGTGGCTCATGCCTGTAATCCCAACACTTTGGGAGGCCGACGTGGGTGGATCACGAGGTCAGGAGTTCGAGACCAGCCTGACCAACATGGTGAAACTCCATCTCTACTAAAAATACAAAAATTAGCTGGGCGTGGTGGCGCGTGCCTGTAATCCCAGCTACTCAGGAGGCTGAGGCAAGAGAATCTCTTGAACTTGGGAGACGGGAGTTGCAGTGAGCCAAGATCATGCCACTGCACTCCAGCCTGGGTGAAGAGCTAGACTCCATCTCAAAAAATAATAAAAAGAAAAAGAAAAAGAACTCTCAAAATTCAATGGTTAAAAAAAATCCAGTTAGAAAAGGGACCAAAGACATGAAGAGAGGCTATATAGATGATAAATAACCTTAGCCATTTAGGGAAATGCAAATTAAAACTACAATGAGATACTGCTACATACCTATCAGAATGGCTAAAATAAAAAATAGTGGTAACACTAAATGCTGATGAGGATGTGGAAAAACTGGATCAATCATACATTGCTGCTGGGAATGTAAATGATACAGACACTCTGGAAACAGTCAGGCAGTTTTTAATAGAACTAAACACGCAACTACCATATGACCTAGAGAATTAACTTCTGGCCATTTATACTAGAGAAATGAACATGTATTTTCACACAAAAACTTGTATACAATTGTTCATAGCCCTTTATTTGTAAAAACTGGAAACTGTCCAGATGTCCTTCAATGCTGAATGGTTAGACAAACTGTGGACATCCAGATCATGAAATACAAAAAGGTCAAACTGTTAATACACATAACAACTTTAATGGATCTTAAGAGAATTATTCTGAGCAGAAAAAGCTAATCTCAAAATGTCACGTACCCTATGATTCTTTTTAGATAACATTCTTGAAATAACACAATTACAGAGATGAAGAACAGAATAGTTGTTGCCAAGGGTTAAGGAGGGTTAAAGGAGTGGGTGATTGTAGCTATAAAAGTGTCGCCTAGAGGAGTCTTGTAGGTGGAAAAATACCATTTTTTTTTTAATCTCCGCTCTCACACAACACAGCACTTCTGACACTGGATGTGTGGGGATATCTTCCCATACACCAAGCAATTCTCTAGTGGACACCAACTGGGTGTTTTAAAATTTAACTCAACTCTGACACTGTCTACCTGGAGATAGCATAAGATCCCACAGATGAGGACTCAGTCCCACAAAACTGCCCCCATTTCAGACACCAATCGAAAGCCCCAAGTTGTGACCTGTGCTTCTGACTGTCCGGCTATGAATCAGAGTTCTTGCGACTTCCTCCTTGGGTTTGATTAATTTGCTAGAGTGTTTCATAGAACTCAGGGAAACAGTTTAGTTACATTTGCCCATTTATTATAACAGATATTACAAAAGATACAGATAAACAGCCAAATGGAAGAAATGCGTAGGACAAACTATGTGGGAATGAGCATAGAGCTTCCACATCCTCTATGGGTGCATCATCCTCCAGGTACCTCCCCATGTTCAGCCATCTGGAAGCTCTTCAAACCCTGTCCTTTGGGGGTTTTATGGAGACTTCAACACAGAGGCATGATTGAATACACGACTGGCTATTGGTAGTCAACTCAACCTTCAGCAACCTTAGTCTCTCCTCTCCCCTGAAAACTCCAGCTAATTACCTGCTTGGTTCCCCTGGCAACCAGCCCTTTACCTGAGACAATCCAGGAGCCCACCCAGAGTCACCTCATTAGAACAAAAGATGTTCTTTCTGTTCATCTAGGAAATTTCCAGACATTTAGGAGCTGTATGCCAGATGCTCCTTTCACTCAGGCTTAGGATCTCTGTGTTAGGAGCCAGGGTGAAAGACCAAATATTAGAATAAAAGATTGTCCTAGTTCCTCTATCTACAAGTGTTTTAGGAGATTTCAGGAATGAGGAACAAAGGCCAAATACATATTTCACAGTATCACACTGTGGTGATGAAACAGGTCTTTATCTTGATTGTTGTGGTAGTTACATGAACCCAGATGTAAAAAATTTACATCAAATTATACACACACAAACAAACAAAAGAGTGCATGTAAAACTAGTGAAATATGAATAAGTTCTGTAGATTGTTCCAATGTCAATTTCCTGGTTTGAATAGTGCACTGTGATTTTGCAAGATGTTATCCAAGAAAACTTGGTGAAGTTTAAACAAAAACTCCGTGTACACTTTTTGCAACTTCCCTGTGAATCTAAAATTATTTTGAAATAAAAAGTTTGGAAAAAACTGTCCTGAACAAGATATTTGATTCAAATAGCTTTCTGAGGTATTATATTACTTCAGGGTGTTTATTATAAGCATTAACAATCATGTTACTGTGAGTTTAAATAAAATATTCAGACATAGCCTGCTAAATAAGCCAAATTTCTGTAAACTTTACTTCTGAGTAACTTCCACACTTTTAAAAAATGTTGTGCTGAATTTATTTCTGATTAAAGAAGGTAGAAACAATTTCATTTTAAATGAATATATGTTGCCATTATGCATATATTGATAACTTCTTGGTTGCATTACAACACCCTTTTTTCTTTTTCCTTTCCAATAGTTCTCATTTTCATTAAAAAAAAAAAAATAGTTGAGAGAAAACCTGCTGTATTTCAGGTCTAGAAATGGATTCCATGACCAAGGTTAAATCAATTAAAATATTCTATCACCCTGGCCAAAGTGATTGGCTCAGAGATTTCCATAAGACTAAGCTTAGCCAATCAAAGGGAATGTCAGGAATTTGAGAATCTGTAAATAAAAATGTCCTTTGTTCTGTGTAGGAATTTTTGTTGATTTGTTTCCCTGTTACGTTTGGGGTTTTTTAATGGAAGTCACTGCCCCCATGTGGAAAGTCATTCTCAGGACACAGCTGCACCACAGAAGGGCACAACTATAAGGCAGAAAGCCCCAATCAAACAAAACCTAAAGCCAATGCAACCTCTAAACTTTCAGGTAATAACATTCTTTTTTTTTTTGAGATGGAGTTTCGCTCTGTCACCCAGGCTCGCAGGGTGGAGTGCAATGACGCAATCTCGGCTCACTGCAACCTCCACCTCCCGGGTTCAAGAGATTCTCCTGCCTCAGACTCCTGAGTAGCTGGGATTATAGGCATGCACCACCATGCCCAGCTAATTTTTGTGTTTTTAGTAGAGACGGGTTTCACCATGTTGGTCAGGCTGGTCTCAAACTCCCGACCTTGTGATCTGCCCGCCTCAGCCCATTCTTTATTTTTTTTTCTAATTGAGGTGAAATTTACACACCTTACAATCAGTCTCTATTCTAATCACAATCTATTTATTCTAATCACGTCCCTATCCCCTGGCAATCACTAATCTACTTTCTGTTTCTATAAACTTGCCTCTTTTTAATATTTGATATAAAAGGAATCATACTATATGCGACCTTTTGTGTCTGGCTTCTTTCACTTAGCATGTTTCAAGGTTTGTTCAAGTTGTAGCATGTATCAGTATTTCATTGCTTTTTATGGTGGAATAATAATCGGTTCCATGTGTATACCACAGTTTGTTTATTCATCTACAGATGGACTTTTGGGTTGTTTCTGCTTTTTGGTTTTATGAATAATCCTGATATGAACATCTGTGTATAAGTTTCTGTGTGGACATATTTTTATTTCTCTTGGGCATATACATAAGAGTGTAATTTCTGGGTCATGTGGTAATGATATGTATAACGTTTGAAAAACCACCAAACTGTTTTCCACAGAGGCTGCACTAGTTTACATTCTCATCAGCAATATACAAGTTTCTATTTCTCCATATTCTCACTAATGCTTGTTATTTATAGTCATCTTAAGGCTGTAAAATAGTATTTCATTTTAGTTTTGATTCGCATTTCCTTAAGAACCAAGAAAATTGAAAGTTTCATGTACTTGTTGGCCACTCGAATATCTTTTTGGGGAAATGTCAAGTCCACTGCTCATTTTTTTTAATTGGGATGTTTGCCTTTTTTGTTGTGGAGTCACAGGAGATTTTTATGTATTCTGAATACGAAACTCCTGCCAAATATATGATTTGCAAATATTTCCTCCCATTCTGTGTTTTTTCTTTAAATTGTCTTGCGTCCTTTGAAAAATGGAAGTTTTTAAAATTTATGAAGTCCAATTTATCCATTTTTTTCTTTTGTTGCTCATGTTTTGATGTCAAGAAATCTATTACAAATCTGAGGTCATGAAGATTTACCCCTATGTTTTCCTCTAATATTTTTATACATTTAGCTATTATATTTAGGTTGTTGTTCCATTGTGAGTTGAAATTTGTATATGGAGTGAAGCAGCAATCCATCTTTATTCTTTTCCATGTGGTTATCCAGTTGTCCCAGTACCATTTGTTGAAAAAACTATTCTTTCCACCATTGAATGGTTTTGGCATCCTTGTTGAAAATCAATTGGCCACAGATATTTGGTTTTATTTCCACACTTTCAATTCTGTTCCACTGATCCAGATGTCTATTCTTATGCCAATATCACACTGTTTTGATTATGTATTTTCTTAGTAAGTTTTCAAATAAGAAAGTAAGTGTCCTCTATCTCTTTTTCAATATTATTTTGGCTATTCTGGGACCCCTGAAATTCAATATGAATTTGAGAATCAGCTTTTCCATTTCTACTGAGAAGGTAATTGGAATTTTGATAGGGATTACACTGAATCCCTACATCAAATCTATCATTTGGAGGAATATTGCCATCTTAACTATATTGTCTTCCAATTCATGAATATGGGATGTCTTTTTATTTTAATTAGATCTTTCCTTAATTTCTTTCAGCAATGTTTTTAGTTTTCAATTTATAACTAGTTCACCTCTGCTATGGTCTGAATGTTTGTGTCTTCCCAAAGTTAATATACTCAAACCTAATCTCCAAAGTGACGGAACTAGGAGTTGGGGTCATTGGGAAGTGATTAGATCATGAGGATGGAGCCCTCATGAGTGGAATTAGTGCCCTTAAAACAGTAGCCCCAGAGAGCAGTCTTACCCCTTCAACCATGTATGTACACAGTGAGAAGGTGCTATCTATGAACAGGCATAAAAACAGACACGTAGACCAATAGAATAGAATAGAGAACCCAGAAACAAATCCGCAAACCTACAGTGAAATCATTTTTGACAAAGTTGTCGAGAGCATACACCATGGAAGAGATAGTCTCCTCAATAAATGGTGCTGGGAAAACTCGATATCCATGTGCAGAAGAATGAAACTAGAACCCTCTCTCTCACCATGTACAAAAATCAAATCAAAACGGGTTAAAGACTTAAGTCTAAGACCTCAAACTATGAAACCACTACAAGAAAACATTGGGGAAAATCTCCAAGACATTGGTCTGAGCAGAAAATTTTTGGAAAGGAAGAAGTAAAATGATGTCTGTTCATATATGGCAGTATTCTAAATGTTGTACATCTTGAAGAATACAGACATACACACACACACATACACACACACACACACACACAATTAAAGCTAATAAATTTGGCAAAGTTGCAAGGCAAGATAAACATAAAAAACTCAGTTGTGTTTCTATACGCCAGCAAGAAACAACCTGAAAGGAAAATAAGAAAAAAAATCTATAAGAACATCTAAAAGAATAAAATATCTAAGAATAAATCTCACCAAGGTGGTTGTGTTAGTCCATTCAGGCTGTTACAGCAAAAAAAATATAGACAGGCGTGGCTTATCAACAACAGAAATTTATTTCACACAGTTCTGGAGGTTGAGAAGTCCAAGAGCTGATGCCTGGTGAAGGCCTGTGTAAAAGAAAAAAAATGCAATTTTTTTTCTCTCTACTTTCAGACTCAACAAAGAGAACTTCTGTGGTCAAACATTTGTGTATGTGTGTGGAGAGCAGCTTTCTCCACACATCAGGAAATTCTCCAGTGGACACCAACTGGTTGTGCTATAGTTCAATTCAATTCTGACACTAGCTATTATAAAATAGCTAGTTGAGGCCTCAGTCCCACAAGACTGTCTCTACTTCAGACACCAATCAAAAGTAGTAGATTGTCACCTATACACCTGACTGGCCAGTTACAAACTGCCATTCCAGAGATCCCCCCACCTTAGGTTCAATTAACTTGTTAAGATGGCTCATAAGACTCACTGAGACACTTATTTACATTTATCAGTTTATTATAAAGGATATTACAAAGCATGCAGATTAACAGCCAGATGATGAGATGGATAGGGCAAGGTTATAGAGGGCCTCGAAACTTCCATGCTTACTCTGGGCAAGTCACCCTCCCAGCACTTCAGTGTGTTCAGCAAATCAAAAACTTTTCAAATCTTGTCGTTCAAGAGTTTTTATAAAGCATGCTCTCCTAGTCCTCTCACTTCCTCAGAGATTAGTGGGTAAGGCTGAAAGTTTCAACCCACTAAATTCTAACTACTTGGTCTTTCTGGTGATTAACTCTATCCTGAGTCTGTCTAGGGGCCTCACCCTAGTAAGTAACTTCGTTAGAATAAACTCAAGAGTTATCAGAGGGGCTCATTATGAACAACAAAAGATACTCCTATCACTCAGAAAATTTTAGGGATTTTAGGAGCTTTGTGGCAGGAAAAGGGGACAAAGATAAAATATATTTCATATTACACCACAGCCTGTTTTATGCCAGTACAATGATGTTTTGGTTGCTTTAACTCTGTAGTATAATTTGAAATCAGGTAATGTGATTCCACCAGATTTGATCTTTTTGCTTAGGATAGCTTTGGCTATTCTGGGTCTTTTGTGGTTTTGTGTAAATTTTAGGATTGTTTTTTCTATTTCTGTGAAGAATGTCATTGGTATTTTGATACAGATTGCACTGAATCTGTAGATTGCTTTGAGTAGTATGGACACTTCAACAATATTTTTTCTTTCCATTTATCAACATGGAATATTTTTCCTTTTTAGTGTCCTCTTCAATTTATTTCATCAGTGTTTTATAGTTTTCATTATAGAGATCTTTGACTTCTTTTGGTTAAGTTAATTCCTAGGTATTAAATTTTATGTGTGGCCATTGAAAATTGATTACTTCTTAAAATTTCTTTTTCACATTGTTCACTGTTGGCATGTAGAAATGCTACTGATTTTTGTATGTTGACTTTGTATCCTGCAGCTTTACTGAACTTGTTTATCAGTTTCAATAGTTGTCTTGTAGAGTATTTTAAGTTTTTCCAAATATAAGATCGTATTATTTGCAAACAAGGATAATTTGATTTCTTCTTTTCCAATTTGTGTGCCCTTTACATCTTTCTCTTGCTAATTGCTCTAGCTAGGACTTCCATTACTATGTTGAATAACAGTGGTGATGGTTGGCATCCTTGTCTTCTTATCTTAAAAGAAAGGCCTTCAGGTTTTCACCATTCAGTATGATACAAGCTGTGGGTCTGTTGCACATGGCTTTTATTATGTTGAGGTATATTCCTTCTACCCTCAGTTTGTGGAGGGTTTTTAATTATGAAGGGATGTTGGATTTTATCAAATGCTTTTTCAGCATCAATTAAAATTACCGTATGGGTTTTATCCTTCATTCCGTTGATACGATGTATCACATTGATTGATTTGAATATGTTGTACCATCCTTGTATCCTAGGGATAAATCACACTTGGTCATAATAAACAATCTTTCTGATGTATTCTTGAACTCAGTTTGCTCATATTTTGTTGAGGATTTTTGCATCAATATTCAATAGAGATATTGGCCTGTAATTAATTTCTTTTCTTTTCTTTTCTTTCTTTTCTTTCTTTTTTTTCTTTCTTTCTTTCTCTCTCTCTCTTTCTTTCTCTCTTTCTTTCTTTTTTCTTTCTCTCTCTCTCTCTCCCTCTTTCTTTCTTTCAGTCTTTCTTTCTGTCTTTCTTCCTTTCTTTCTCTTTTATATGTGTCTGTCTGGTTTTGGTATTCAGGTAACACTGGACTCCTAGAATGAGTTTGGAAGTATTCCCTCCTCCTCTATTTTTTCGAATAGTTTGAGTAGGGTTGGTATTAGTTCTTCTTTAAATGTATGATAGAGCTCAGCAGTGAAGCCATCAGGTCCTAGGCTTTTCTTTACTGGGGGACTTCTTATTGCGGCTTTGATCTATTACTTGCTATTGGTCTGTTCAGGTTTTGGATTTCTTTTGGGTTCAATCTTCATAGGTTGTATGTATCTAGGAATTTGTCCATTTCCTCTAGATTTTCCAATTCATTGGCATATAGTTGTTCATATAAAGTAGCCACTAATGATCCTTTGAATTGCTGTAATGTCTCTTTTTTCATTTCTGATTTTATTTATTTGGATGTTCTCTTTTTTTCTTAGTTAAACTGGCTAAAATGTGTCGATTTTGTTTAACTTTTCAAAAAACCAACTTTTTGTTTCATTGATCTTTTGTATATTTTAATTTTAGTGTCATTGAATTCTGCTCTGATCTTTATTATCTCTTTTATTCTACTAATTTTGGGTTTAGTTTGCTCTTGCTTTTCTAGTTCTTTAAGAAGCATTGTTAGATTTTTTTGTTTGAAGTTTTTTCTCTTTTTCGATGTAGGCACTTATAGCTATAAACTTCCCTCTGAGTACTACTTTTGCTGTATCCCATAGTGTGATGGTTAATATTAAGTATCAATTTGATTGGATTGAAGGATGTGAAGTGTTGTTCCTGGGTGTGTCTGTGAGAGTGTTGCCAAAGGAGATTAACATTTGAGTCAGTGAACTGGGAGATGTAGACCCACCCTCAATCTGAGTGAGCACCATCTAATTAGCTGCTAGTGCAGCTAGGATAAAAGCAGCCAGAGGAACGTAGGAGGACTAGACTGGCTTAGTCTTCTAGCCTACATCTTTCTCCTGTGCTGGATGCTTCCTGCCCTCAAACATTGGACTCCAAGTTCTTCAGCTTTGGGACTCTTGAAACTTTGACCACAGACAAAAGGCTGCACTGTCAGCTTCCCTACTTTTGAGGTTTTGGGACTCAGACTGGCTTCCTTGCCCCTCAGCTTGCAGATGGCCTATTGTGATCACGTGAGTGATTATCTTGTGATCATGTGAGTCAATACTCATTAATACACTTCCCTTTATATATATCTATATATCTATCCTATTAGCCCTGTCCCTCTAGAAAACCCTAATACACATAGGTTTTGGTATGTTGTGTTTCCATTATCATTCATTTCATGAAAATTTTCAGTTTCCTACTTAATTTCTTTATTGACCCACTGGTCATTCAGGGGCATACTGTTGAATTTCCATGTGTTCGTATAGTTTCTAAAATTCCTCTTATTAATTTCCAGTTTTATTCCATTGTGGTTAGAGAAGATGCTTAACATTATTTCATTTTTTTGGATGCTTTAAGACTTGTTTTCTGACCTAATATATGGTCTATGCTGAGAATGATCCATGTGCTGAGGAAACAAATGTGTATTCTGTAGCTGTTGGATGAAATAATTTGGAAATATCTATTAGATCCATTTGATCTATAGTGCAAATTAAATCTAATGTTTCTTTGTTGATTTTCCATCTGGAAGATCTGTTCAATGCTGAAAGGGTGGTGGTGAAGTCTCCAGTTATTATTTTATTGAGGCCTATCTCTCTCTCTTGAGCTCTAATAATATTTGCTTTATATATCTGGGTGCTCCAGCATTGGGTGCATATATGTGTAAAATTGTTATATCCTTTTGCTGAATTGACCCCTTTATCATTATACAGTAACATTCTTTGTCTCTTCTGATAGCTTTGGTCTTGAAATCTATTTATTCTGATACAAGTATAGTGAATCCTGCTCTTTTTTTTTGGTTTCCATTGGCATGAAATATCTCTTTCCATCCTTTTTTTAGTCTATGTGTGTCTTTATAGGTAAAGTGTGTTTCTTATAGGCAACAGATCATTGGATCTTGTTTTTTTTTCATTCATTCAGCCAATCTATGTCTTTTAATTGAAGAGTTTAGTCCAATTACTTTCAATGTTATTATTGATAAGTAAGGACTTACTCCTGCCATTTTGTTGTTTGTTTTCTGGTTGTTTTGTGGTCTTCTTCTCCTTATTTCTTTTCTTCTTATCTTTCTCTAGTGAAGGTGATTTTCACTGGTGATATTATATAGTTTTTTGCTTTTAATTTTTTTCTATCCATTATGTTTTTTGGTTTGGAGTTAACATGAGATTTACAAATACTATCTCATAACCCATTTTTTTAACCTAATAACAACTTAACGCTATGGGCATAAACAGACAAACAAGCAAAAAGAAAACTATTCAAGATTCTATGCCTAAATGTTGTCCCCTCATTTTTTAACGTTTTTTCTTTCTGATTATATCTTATTGTACTGACTATGTCTTGAAAAGTTGTTGTAGTTATTATTTTTGATTGGTTCATTGTTTAGTCTTTCTACTTAGGATAAGACTAGTTTTTACCCAGTTACAGTGTTATAATAATCCTGTGTTTTTCTCTGTACTTACTATTACCAGAGAGTTCTGTACCTTTAGGTGATTATATACTGCACATGAATGTCCTTTTCTTTCCGATTGAAGGATTTCCTTTAGCATTTCTTGTAGGACAGATCTGGTATTGATGAAATGCCTCAGCTTTTGTTTGTCTGGGAATGTATTTATTTCTCCTTCACGTTTAAAGGCTGTTTTTGCTGCATATGCTATTTTAGGGTAAACTTTTATTTTCTTTAGAATTTTAAATATGTCATGCTACTCTACCTTGGCCTGTTAAGTTTTCCACTGAAAAGTCTGCTGTCAGATGTATTGAAGTTTCATTGTATATTATTTGTTTCTTTTATTTTGCTGCTTTTAGGATCCTTTTTTATCCTTGACCTTTGGGAGTTTGATTATTAAATGCCTTGAGGTAGTCTTCTTTGGCTGAAAACTGTTTGGTGCTCTAAAACCATCTTGTACTTGGATATTGATGGCTTTCTCTAGGTTCAAGAAGTTCTTTGTTATTATCCCTTTGAATAAACTCTCTACCTTTATTTCTTTCTCTAGTTCCTCTTTAAGGGCAATAACTCTTAGATTTGTTATTTTGAGGATATTTTCTAGATCCTATAGGCATGCTTCATTATGTTTTATTCTTCTTTTTTCTCCTCTGACTGTATATTTTCAACTAGCCTGTCTTCAGGCTCATTAATTCTTTCTTCTACTTAATCAATTCTGCTACTAAATGCCTCTGATGCATTCTTCAGTATGTCAATTGCATTTTTCAACTCTAGAATTTCTACTTCTTTTAAATTTTTTCCATCTCTTTGTTAAATGTATCTGATACAATTCTGAATTTCTTCTCTGTGTTATCTTGAATTTCTTTGAGCTTCCTCAACACAGCTATTTTAGATTCTCTTCCTGAAAAGTCACATATCTGTATTTCTCCAGGATTGGTCCCTGGTGCCTTATTTAGTTCATTTGGTGAGGTCATGCTTTCCTGGATGGTGTGATGCTAGTAGATGTTCTTCAGTATCTGGCTATTGAAGAGTTAGGTATTTATTGTAATCTTCCCAGCCTGTAGTCTTCACTTTGTAGCTGTCCTTCTTGGGAAGGCTTCTAGATATTTGAAAGGACTTGGGTGTTATAATCTAAGCTGTATCTGCTTTAGGGAGCACTCCAAGCCAAGTAATGTTGTTGTTCTTGCAGACTTTCAGAGGTACTGCTCTGATGGTCTGGGACAAGATCCATGAGAATTATTTGGATTACCAGGCAGAGACTCTTGTTCTCTTCCCTTACTTTGTCCCAAACAAATGGAGTCTCTTGCCACCACCACTATAACTGCACTGTATCAAACCTAAAGCCAGCACATCACTGGGTTTCATCCAAGGCCTGCTGTAAATGCTCCCTGGCCACTGCCTATGTTTGCTCAAGGTCCTGAGGCTCTACAATAAGCAAGTGGCTAAGCCAGCTAGGCCTGTGCCCTTTTCTTCAGTTCAGTGAGGTCTCTAGGCCCCAGGTTGGTCCAGAGGTGCCATCTGGGGGTCAGGAACTAGAGTCAAAAAATCTTAGAAGTCTACCTGCTGTTCTATTGTGTTGCAGCTGAGCTGGCACTCAAACCACTAGCTGCAGCCCTTCCCACTCTTTCCTCCTTTTTCCAAAGGCAGAGGAGACTCACTCCATAGCCACTGTCACCCCAGGCCACTAGGAGTACTGCCAAATTATAGCTAATGTTCCCTTAAAGCCCAAGGTCTCTGAAGTCAGTTTGTGGTGAATGCTTCCTGGCCTGAGACTCACCCTTCAGGGCATTGGGTTCCTCTCTGGCCCAGGACATGTCCAAGAATGCTATCCAAGAGTCAAGTCCTGGAGTTAGGGATGTCAGGAGCCCACTTGGTACTCTAACCCTCTGTGCCCATGCTGGTACCTGAAGCCAACAAGTCTCAGAGGCTCACCCAAGGCCCTCAACATAGTACTTGGGTATTGTTAGTAGTTATTCAAGGCCCAAAGGCTCTTCAGTTAGCAGGTAATAAATGCTGCCAGGACTGAGTCCTTTCCTTCAAGGAAGTGGCTTCCCTTATGGCCCAGGTTGTGCCTAGAAATGTTGTCTGGAAGCTAGGGCCTGGAACAGGGGCCTCACAATTCTGATCAGTGTCCTATCCAGCTGTGTCTGAGCTGGTATCCAAGATGCAGGACAAAGTCCTCCCCACTCTTCCATCTCCTATCCTCAAGTGGAGGGAAAGGGATCTCTCCTGGAACCATGAGCTGTGCAGCCTGGGGTTAGGGAAGGGGTGATGCCATCATTCCCTTGGCTGCCCCCAGTTGGTGTCTCAGTAGGTTGCATGCCCCCCTAGTACCCTGTCTCTAGGCTTAGTTCAGCACTAGGACTTGCCTAAGGGTTGCAGTCATTGTGACTTAGCCTGCCTTTCAAAGTTACTTGGAGACATGGAGTACTGTAGACATCAGTGGCAAGGTTTGTGAGAACTCAAGTTTGGACCACTGGGACCAGTGATTCCCCTCTAGCTAGGGCTGGTTTTCTGCTTCATACGGTTTGGCTGTGTCCCCACCCAAATCTCATCTTGAATTGTAGTTCCCATAATCCCCATATGTGTAGTAGGAGAGACCAGTGGGAGGTAATTTAATCATGGGGGCAGTTTCCCTCATGCTATTCTTGTGATAGTAAGTTTTCATGAGATCTGATGGTTTTATAAGGGGCTTCCCACTTTACTTGGTTCTCATTCTTTTCTCTCCTGCCACCATGTGAATCAGGACATGTTTGCTTCCCCTTTCACCATGAATATAAGTTTCCTGAGGCCTCCCCAGCCATGCAGAACTATGAGTCAATTAAACCTCTTTTTTTTTTTAAATAAATTACCCAGTATCAGGAAGTTCTTTATAGCAGCGTAAGAATACACTGATCTAACAGAACAGCACTGGGTTCAATGCCTTGCAATTGCTGGAGGGGTGGAAGTGCTGGCAGAGGGGTGGCATCAGTGATTCAGGACTGTTTTTGCTACCATTTCCGTGCCTCTTTCAGACATATATGAAGTTAAAACCAGGTACCATCAGTGCTCATCCAATTTTTGGTTCTTATGAAGGTGTTTTTCTATGTAGATTATTGTTAGCTTGGTATCCTTGTGGAGGGGACAATTGGTGGACCTTCTATCCTGCCATCTTCCTCCACTAACTAAGACAAAATTAACATCGATAGTTTATTTGGGTCAAGGTTGAAGACAGCTGCCTGGTACACACTTCCAAATGGTCTTGGGGAATGCTCTGCTCAGCCTTTGGTACAAACAGGTTTTTAAAGGCTAAAGGAAACAAGATGTGGGCTGATACAAAGTTGTCTGACAAGAATTCTCACTTGTTTACAGAGGTAACATTGATTAGTGACTGGCTATATATTATTGAACCATTGGGCATGAGTTATAGTGTCCAGCATATGGCACTTTATAGTTACTTGGCCTCATTTAGTCTTGAGCTCATATAGCAGGTGGCTTCAAGAGGTAATTATTTACCTCAAGAGAGAAGTTAGGTGACTGCTGTCACATGCTGTCACATTTCAATCTTCTCTGGACCTGATAATTAAAGGGAGCATATATTTCTCAGATAAAAACTTTCTTTTCTTTCTCAGTCCCGATTATGATTTCAAGGAACATCCCTTGTCTTAACTGAATCTTCCCTGGAAAACTCCAATGGCTTCTGGCAAATTTTGTCCAAAATCTATGACTTCCTTTTTCACAATAATTATTTTTTCTGGGAAAAGATTTATTAAATGGGAAAATGAAATGTTTAATGCAGCATAAAATAATAATAGTGATATATAAATATTGAAACCAGAGAAGTTTTAACTTTCCTTCTGCTCTCTCATTTGGAACCCCTAGCCCTTTCTTCCATTTCTTGGGCATTTTGAGAAAATACCTAATAGTTGAGAAATGCAAGTGTATGAATTCAGAAGAAGATCATGAATAGGCCCAGTTCTTTCCAATCAATGCTTTCAGAATCTCCACAGTTCCCTGCGGTGTCTAATTTACTCACAAATTCTTCAGACTTTTCTTTTATATAAAAAGAGAAATAGTTTCCAACACAACAGATTGATTTTTCATGTGACAGACAAATGTCAAATAAGCTATATGGTTATTCCCTTAATTTTTTTTTCGGTCTCTTTCCATTTCTTAAAACTATTGAAAAACATTATTTTACTTTTGATATTCCTTTTTCTTAAAATGAGAACAGAGTATGACATGGAGGACTAAATGGATAACATTTTTTAAAGTATCATTGAAAAATACAGGAAATTTTGAAATGATGATCACTTGAGTACAGAGACAGAGTAAAGAATAAAAAGCAGAAGAGAGAAGGGGGAAACTAATGCATACACATTTACATGGTTGAATTGGGTAAATGCTCAGGGATATTTTGCAAAGAAAATGAAAGCACTCTTCTCCCTCCACTTTATAAAATATCTTTATAATTATATGTCCACCATTTCAGTAATTCTTACTAGTAGTTTTGTAAGATTCTTGTGAGCAAGAAGGAGAATTGTGATGATTAAAAGCTATGTCATTTAGTCTGTTTATTACGAAGTCCATTACCATCATTACGAGAGCCTTGGGAATAAAATAAGAACATTAGAGTGCTTTCTGCCAGTTGCTAGTAGCAGATCAAGGGATCTTGTCAAGGACAATTACACTTATTGTTCACCCACCAAAAAAATCCCAAGTAATTTCCAGTAACAGACTTAAAACCTATTTTCTCTCGTTACCCATTTAATATGATAAATTCAAAGACTTTCAGAATAAGAATGCACAAGGAGCCCTAATTATTAAAACTGGATTTTCAGCAAAGGTTTTACATTTTTCTGTAAGTGCTCAATATGATTAAATATTTATCAGCTGAACCTAAGAAATGCCTGCAAACCCAGTGTTCTGTGTACTCACTTCATAGCTCCCAGAAGGTTTGCATTGCTGACAAGCTACTTACTGTATAAATGTTAGTTGGATTTGAAGTGTCTGATATTCAGCAGCCATTAAGGAGGCCTCTAGTGGCATTCATAACGGCTGGCCACTTAGACCTTACTTTTGCATTGTGGAAGATTTTAAGAGAAACAGACTTGGGCTGTCTTGACCCATCCTATGCTGTTGTTTACCTTTCACTTCAAGCAGGAAGAGAAAGCAGTAAGGCACAAACCTGTAACCACTAGAACAAGCATCAGCTTACCAATAAATAAGTAGATGCAACATGTAGAAGGATCTACAAGAATGGTTTTCACTATGAGTGCAGTAAACCAACCACACGCATAAAATGTAATAGGCTGCATTGCTGCAGCATGAGGTTTTTATTGTTATCCATAAAACTTCAATACAAAATGTTCATTTTTTATATTCACTTAATTTTAATTTTAAAATATTTATGTGATACAAGTATAGAATAGTTTCCATCTAATAAATAGTTCACATTCTAAAAATTAATTAATAAACAATATTATAAATCAAAGTTGACACTCCAAGCCAGGTCACAAATGAAGTTACACATGCTAGAAATATAATAGTAGTTTTCCAATATATTTGTCAAATTTTGTGACAACACTGAGTATTAATGAACACATTAGTTAATGATGGAGCTTTATATCACAACTGTTCAACTTTTTTAACTTTTTTTTGGAAAGAAGTCTTTCAAAAATAGAAAGCATTCTTAAAATATCTGCTATGACTTACTCTTCCTATGATATTGAGCTGTTATTCTGAGCATTCTCTTTGTGATGTGCTGATCATTTTTCAAAAGTGTGGGACATAGGGATTTATGGGTACTGCTCACTCTTTTGGCACATTTTCCACATCTCTTGATGTACCTACATAACCTCCACAACAGTACCACGAGACCTTTTTAACAAAATTATTTAACAAATTTAAGCCAGAGCATTTTTTTCCAAGTGATAACCTTACCCTCTAGAAATGCATCTCTTTTCTGTTGTTCTTAGTGACTTTTGCCTTTATAACACTCCCCTAAAATATAACCGGATTTCAAATGGTTAGAAAAAATATCTGAAACTCAAAAATAAATGAAAGAGATTATTGGCTGTTGTTTAAACACAATATTGGGTTTGACTTTTGATATGGTTTGGTGTGTCCCCACCCAAATCTCATCTTGAATTGTAGTTCTCATAATCCCCACATGTCTTGGGAGGGACCCAGTGGGAGGTAATTGAGTCATGGGGGCAGTTACTTCCATACTGTTCTTGTGATAGTGAGTTCTCATGAGAGCTGATGGTTTTATAAGGGGCTTTCCCCCATTTCACTCTACACTTCTCCTTGCTGCTGCTACGTGAAGAAAGACATGTTTGCGTCCCTTCCACCATGATTGTAAGTTTCGTGAGGCCTCCTCAGCCCTGCAGAACTGTGAATCAGTTAAACCTCCTTTCTTTATAAATTACCCAGTCTCAGATATGTCCTTACAGCAGCATGAGAATGGACTAATACAACTTTCTATTGACTCAGCCATTTACAGGTCTGAAGAGGAAGAGGTCAATTTGTAGATTGTTCTAGTAGAGATGTAAGGTAGACAGTATAATGACCACCCCCTGCCATCCCTGCCCAAAGATGTCCATGTAATAATAATCCCTGGAATCTGGGAATATATTTCCTTACATAGTAAAAGAGACTTTGCAGAAGTGACTAAGCTAAGTATCTTGAGATGATGGGATTATCCTGGATTATCAGGTGGGCCTCATTTAAGCACAGAATTCATGACATTATGTCTTGATCTTCTGGAAGCTTCACATATGTTGGCTTGAAAAGAACCTAGGCACAGAAAACACTGATGTATTTTAATACATATTTGAAACCTCTGGAGAGTGCTTTTCAGATGCTCCAAATTTTAATTTTTGAATAACCTTTTTAT
This sequence comes from Homo sapiens, assembly GCF_000001405.40. Taxonomy (NCBI): domain Eukaryota; kingdom Metazoa; phylum Chordata; class Mammalia; order Primates; family Hominidae; genus Homo; species Homo sapiens. The sequence goes on along the minus strand of NC_000003.12, from coordinate 154,569,805 downwards.
ATTCATATTTTATATTTATATTCATGTCCATATTCAGTACTTTGGGGGATTGGAGCAGAGCTGTGCTTGGTGAGGAGTTGAAACCAGAAAAGTAGTGGTTATAAAATTTTATTGCCAATAAATACATGAGTTATAATTTACTTGATATTAGCATAGTACATTTTTATTCTTTTTTTAATTTTATTTTTTATTTTGTTTTAAGTTCTGGGATACATGTGCAGAACGTACAGGTTTGTTACATAGGTATACATGTGCCGTGTGTTTTGCTGCACCTACCAATTCATCATCTAGGTTTTAAGCCCTGTACGCTCTCCCTCCCTTTGTCCCCCAACCCCTGACAGGCCCCCCATGTGTGATGTTCCCCTCCCTGTATCCATGTGTTCTCACTGTTCAACTTCCACTTACGAGTGAGAACATGCGGTGTTTGGTTTTCTGTTCCTGTGTTAGTTTGCTGAAAATGATGGCTTCCAGCTTCATACAAGTCCCTGCAAAGGACATGAACTCATTCTTTTTTATGTCTGCATACTATTCCATGGTGTATATGTGCCACATTTTCTTTATCTAGTCTATCATTGATGGGCACTTGGGTTGGTTCTAAGTCTTTGGTATTGTAAATAGTGCTGCAATAAACATATGTGTGCATGTGTCTTTATAGTAGAATCATTTATAATCCTTTGGGTATATACCCAGTAAATGGGATTGCTGGGTCAAATGGTATTTCTGGTTCTAGATCCTTGAGGAATTGCCACACTGTCTTTCACAATGGTTGAACTAATTTATTGGCTTTCTGTGTTGGACTCATCTTTTCCTATAGTCTCCTAAATCAAAAGCACCTTTACATGGGCTTCAATTATTTAAGTTTTAAAGTAAGATAATTAAAATAACTCCCAAGGTAATTTTCAGCTCTAAATCTCCACAAGCCATTTTTATTTGGTCCTAGCAACAAAAAATAGAAAATTTAATGTTTTTATTCACCTACGAATCCATTTAACAATCATTTATTTAGTGCCTACTATGTGCCAAACACTATTTTAGGCACAGGAAATATGGCAATAGGTAGCAGGCTCTACTGTCGTAGAGTTTAAATGCTAATGGGGTAAGAAGACAGTAAACAAACGTATACATTAATGTAAGTATAATGTCAGGTTGCATCATTGCTACTAAAAACATTTAGCAGAATAAAGGAGAAGCAAGAATCCACTCCAAAATGACTCAAGGATCTCTTTTTATAATTAATCATTCTTAATCCATATTGTTTCTGTAGTCTTTCAGGTTTTTCACTTGATATATCCTGAGATTTCAATTTATTCTTCACAGTTATACTAGTTCTTTGCTTTCTTAAATCTATGTTTAAATGAAGTTGCCACTTGAATTATTTTGAAATGTAACTAGCTCTACACTCTTAGAAAAACTAAGAATACAGTCAATACTGTGAGGCTTTCATACAAAGAAATGCTACCATTGTCTATGCTCTTGGCAATACAGATGAACAGGCACAGGTCAGTAGTATAGTAAACAAAATTTAAGGCATGAATTTAGCAACGTAAACATTATTTCCATGTTAGCATCTCCTATGGCTTTTGTTTTTTGGGGCAAAACATTGTTGGCACCAGTGATTCTTTCTTCTCTGAGAATGACCTCTGATCTACCAGGCTGGGCCTCCGATAATTATTTTTAGTATATCACCATGCACTCTTTTCTTAGCTGAATGGTCCAGCAGTGGACTCCTGACGTGAGCTGGGCCAAGCCAACTATCCTTCTTTCTCTCTCAAGATTATGATATTTAGAATAAATGAACTCAGAAGCAGAACATTGTTAGAGCTGAGTCTTTTGAAATGACAATTGTCCAGTAAAGTTTTTGAGCACACATACTGGGTTGTGGAGTAACATACTGCCTGATTCTTCATTATACATCTATTTTCTGGGCTCCAGGAGAGAGCCTCATGTTATTCACAAAACTACACTTTGTAATTTAAGCTAGCAAAGATCCTTTGTGCTGCTTGTTTTCTCAGCAATAGCATTCAATTGACTTTTGTAATTAGAGAGCCGTTGCAGATTGAGTGTCATGTGTTTGAGATCCTGAATGGCTTAGATCTGCAAAGCACATTTCTTTGATCAATAATATTGTTAGTGTTCCATTATTCACCAGCCTGATTTGCTTCTGGCTTCAGACAAAAGCTGATGGAGTGAGGAGGTGGGAATAACACAGTTAGTATACATCTCCATATCATCCATGATCAAAATAGATCTGTTGTGAGCACACATGTGGAAGAAATGGAAAGGATTTCTGAGGCTTAAAATATGTTCAGAAATAAAACATAAACTAAAATAAAAGGAAGCTTGATTCAAAACATAAAAGCTTCTTGAACTGTGCTATTATGGTTGCCATTAGCCATACATGGCTACTGAGCACTTCACATATGGCTAATTCAAACTGAGATGGTCTTAGTGTAATATAAACACTAGATTTCAAAGTCTTAGTATTAAAAAAATTTTATATTGATTTCATATTGAAAAGATAATTTTCGATATGTTGAGTTAAATGAACTGTTACTAAGATTAATTTCACCTGTTTCTTTTCACTTTTTTAATGTGGCTGCTGAGAAATTTTAGACTACCTATAAGGCTCACATTATCTTTCTATTTGACAGTGCTACCCCTAGACTCTGTGGAAGTATAATCACCATTCTTTAAAGGGAAAATTGACAGCTCTTACTGAGTCCTAAAAGACTTCCCCAGTGTAGCTATTAAGTGATTACAAATGTAAAGTGCTGTAAAATGTAACCAAGATGAGCATACATGGTGAATTTAGGACTCTGCTCAGCCTCCCCTCACCCTGAAGAAGCCAAAGTGGACAGTGTCTTTCCTGGCTCAGGCCTTCAGCCCTCTGAGAGTGCACTTAGAATTTTAATTCAAGCACTACAGTACTTCCTGCTGCTGGGAATAAAAAATAAGGACATAATTCCATGCAATAATTTGTATAGGGGTCATCAATTTTTTATGAGGGCTTTTCCAAGACACAAAAAAATACATTTCTATCTTTTTGTTGTTGTTGTTGTTCAGAATCTTGCTCTATCACCCAGGCTGGAGTGTAGTGGTATGATCTCAGCTCACTGCAACCTCCACCTCCCGGGCTCAAGTGATTCTCGTGCCTCTGCCTCCCAAGTAGCTGGGATAATAGGCATGCACCACCATGCCTGGCTAATATTTGTATTTTTAGTAGAGACGGGGTTTCACCATGTTGGCCGAGCTGGTCTCAAACTGCTGACCTCAAGTGATCTATCCACCTCAGCCTCCCAAAGTGCTGGGATTATGGGCATGAGCCACCGTGCCGGCCAATTTATATCTTTCTGTGTTATTTTTGTTGAAGAAATTTCACTACTAGGGCTCAGAAAAATCAGGGGCCAACAACCTTAGAATGAACAAGAGAAGGCAACCCATTTTTACAAGGATTGCAATATACAGTGTCACAGGCCAAACGATATTCCCTCCACATATATAAATAAAATACTTGGAAGACTTTCAAATGAACTTAGATGTCCTATTGGGCATTTTGTCTCGTTTCCAAAATAATTCCTCTTTTATTCTTTATTTCCACACTTAGCTTCACTTTTCGTTAAGGCAACTATGACTACTTGACATGAAATATATATTTGTTTAATATCCACTTATTGTCAATCTCCCTTTTTAGAATTTAAGTGTTTTGAGGACAGAGACCTTGCTTTATACACTGTGGTATCTCTCCATCAATTACAGCATCGGATGCAGATTTATTTCTCAATAAATATATGCTAATCAATGAATAAACAAATATTAATGTTACAGATATCATTATATTACCTTACTCCAAATTTACAACACTACTGTGGTGATTCATTGATCTCAATATTCTAAACCCCACCATATTTATAAGCAAGGTTGCCATTTACAGTCTGAATCAAACATCTGTTTTCTGCTGCTTTTCTGAGTGTCCTCTGTCTGACGGTGTGAAAACAAAACTCTCATTATAGGAAAACAAGTTGTCTCTGGATGTTTCACACAAAGAAAAGGAGCATTTAAAGTAGCAGACAAAAGTAAAGATCTACTCAATAAGGCTAAGAAATTTTACTCAAAAAACACTGTTTTTAAATCAAAATTAGTTTTAATATTTTCCCTGCCCTTACCTTTGTCTAGGTCCTGCCATTCAACAAACTCACAAAAGGATTAAATTCTTCTTTGGAATTTATCTTCTCTTTTTTGTTTTTCTCTGTGCACAGTATTAAGTATGTTACAATATCCACAATTGTTGCTTACTCCATTCTTTTAAATTACTAGCCATTTTAGCATTCATGAAAGAACTACTATGTATTCCATACCAGGTCCTGGCAGGTGGTGAGGTGGCATACATAGAAGCTCCTCACCATCTTGCAGCTAGCTACTAGGTAGAGGATGCAATTTGGCTGCTGGCCATTGCAATTTTGTGACTTTCTGCCTCTAATATCATGTCAGAAATTTGGGGCAAAATACACAATTACTCTGATAAGTCCTCTCTGACTTTCTTTCTTCCACTTGTCTCAGGAAAACAGCTCTTATCCCCTTATCAAGATCACCTTTTATATGTCACTCACAGATAATAATAAGATATTTCTCCAAGACTTACTCTGAGAGGCAGTGTTTCTCCTACTCATGATAGATGCCATTAGGTACCCACAAAGGGAGTAAATGTCCATTTTTTTTTGTTTAATTTCACCCATAAATTATTATAAAACAAATATTGGCATTTCGACCTCAGGTAAAACTTATTAATTTATATTCCTTCAGCACTTTATACTTTTCAAAAATATCTTAACATTTTTAGTATGAATAAGGTTATATTCTGAGGATACAAAGCACATAAGTGGACAGTCTGAAGACCAGCAAGAACAATAAGTAGCTCATGAAAGGAATTCTAAGAGCCCAAGCTTAAGCAAAGACAACTGGAATAAAGAGGACTTAAGCAGGATATGGAATCAAAATGAGTTGACTGGGTGATGACAGTACAGTTGAATATGACTCCAAGGTTTCTAGCCGGGTAAAATGGGTAGGTGGTGCTGCTGTTCACACTAAGATAAAAAGGAGAGTCCCTTTTCACACTGGAGACATCTTGGGATATCTTACCAACAAGCATGAATTCACCTACCATCAACATGCCCTTATTTCCAAACCTGTGTCTCCTGCCCACATATGTGTTTCAGGCTGTAGACAAATGTGAAATTGCCAATGGGACAGCTTCATTTAGATGGTCCCCAAGTATCTCAAACAACATTTCCAAAAACAAAGTCACCATCTCATTCTTCCAAAGCCATTCCTCTTTTTACATTCCCAATCTCAGGAAATTCCTCTATCACTTAATAAGAAACAAAAACTATTATTTCTTCTTATCTCTCATCCCCCACTTCCAATTCATCATCAGATTAATTTGATTCTATCTACTATCTCTAATACATCCATTTTCTCCCATGCTTTTGCTATCTTAGTTTATATAAAGCATGATCTTACTCCAGGATTATGCAACAACCTAATTTCCCTTCCTTCCAGTCTTTGCCTATTTCATTTTCACTTGCCTTCTAGTTTTGCCAAATTCATTCATGTCCATAAATTATGTTCCTAAAACACAAGCTTGTTCATTTAAACCTTTTACACAGTTCCTGGTGGTTCTCAGGATAAATGTGATCACCTTACTGTGACCTCCTGATTTCTGTAAGATATGGCCCTTGTCTACCCTTCCACCCTTGTCTCTCAGCACCACTCTTCTCCCAAATAAGCCTCTTCAACAATCATGCAGCACCACTATGACCCTCTGCATGGCAACCACGGGCTATTCATGGCAACCACCAATTACCTCTAGTGTCCAATACTTTTAGAGTCAAGTTACATAGGATCGAGAACTGTCTATGGATTTGGCAATTAGGACCTTATCAAGAGCAATTTTAGATAAGGAATAAAATGAAAAAACAAACTGCAGTGGCTTTGGGTGTCAGACAAGGTACTGAGGAAGTGGTAACAGAAAGAATTGACAACTCATCCACCTCATAAAGTACTTACTGAATTGACCAAGTACATAACAAGGTAGGCAGAAGCATGACACTGAATTGGTCCTTGAAATGTAGGTAAAATCTAAGTAAGAAGACACTGTCGAGAGTGTTCCAATCTGACTCTAGCCAAATAGTATCAAAAAAGCAAAGAGTTGGAAGAAAGAATGCTGTTGGCAAGGCGGCAGAAATGATCTCAAGCAATATTGTAATATTAGAGTTTAAAACAGTTAAAACAGGAAATAGAAAATAACAAGAGATGAGACTCATGAAGAGGAAAGAATCAGACCATGGAGGGCCTTGTTTGCCATGTCAAGTTAGGTCTTATTTTCTTAGCAGATAAAAAGTCATTGAAAAGTTTAAAGAGGAATAGAAATGGAACCTGATTTTAATTTCTGATAGATTACTCTGACTGCAGAGCAGAGGAAAGCTTTGAGGGGAACAAGACTGAAGGCACAGAAGAAAACTAGGAATGAAGGAATACAGAGAAGGGTAGACAGAATCCAGACTTTTATTAAATCCAAGTAACCGCCTGGTGACCTAGATAGGGCAGGCATTGTTATTCTGCTTTTATAGTTCAGGTGGCAGAAAAGGAGAGATGAAGGTGACACAATTGATTTCTGGCAAATCTGAAAAGAAAGCATAAATTTTTCACTCACAGCCTAGTGCACTTAGAGCTGGCAACCTTGAAAATTTCATTATTTAAGGCTTTCAGTTAGAACAGTTTATATGATCAATTTAGCTGTAGACCCATGGCTGAGGTTTCAATAGAAACTTCTACTTGTTTGTTTGTTAACAGATAGGTATAGAAAGAAAGAAATATAAATGCATGTATGCCTGGGTTAGTATACATACATATATTTGTAAGCTTTGTCCACTGAAAGGGCCTAGAAGCAATGACACACACCTAACACACAGATCTTGGTTTCTAAATATATTCTCCAAAAAAAGAAACAGTCCTCTTAGAAAAGTGGTTGATACCAGGACTGAGGCAGGGACACTACAAGATGAGCCTGGAATATCTTGTTTTTCCATAAGAAAATACTCAAAGAGGGATAGGCAGCATATAAAAAGGTCATAGGAGCCAGCTGAGGGATCTCCCAATGATCAAAGCCAGAATAATCTGAGCAATAAAATAAATAACAATGATACTCAATTACACCCTTAGAATAAAATAAATATCCATGAGTCCATACCGATAAATACAAATAATTGAATCAATAAATCTGGGAAAGGGTAGCCTCCTCCATTTAGAATTCTAATTAATAAATATAAAAGGAATGAGGGAAATATAAAATGATCATGAGGCCAATACCACAGTAATAGCTTCTAGCAAGTTCTACCCTGTGATGCTAAAATTAATGAATAAAAGCTTCAGGAGAAACAGGATATTTGCACAGTCTCAAAATCTTTCCCCCAAGATACTATAAAAAGAAAAATAATAACTTTACAGTGGAAAAAGCTGGCAGACACTGCCTTAACTAGTGACCAAGGTCAACAACACCAATAATAAGACTTCATACACTCCTTGCTGTAATTCCTTGAGAAGGGCAAAATATCACTTCTGTAGTGTTCTTGCCAAAAACATTTAACATCAGTCTAATCAAGAGAAAACATCAGTCACACCCAAATTGAGGGACATTCTACAAAATAACGATCAGTACTCTTAAACAATGTCAAGACAAGGAAAGACTGAGGAATTGTCACCAATTGGAGGACACTGAGCAGAACTATAATAACTAAATGCAATATGGGATGCTGGATTGGGTTAGGGAACAGAAAAAGAATGTTAGCAGAAAAAACTGGTGAAAAAATAATAAAATCTGTAGTTTACTTAATAGGAATGCAGCAACGTTAATTTCCTGGTTCTGATAAATGTACTATGTAAGTACATAAATTGTGGTTATGTATGATATTAACGTTAGGGAAAGGTGGATGAAGGAAATACAAAAACTTTCTGATCTATTTTTGTAACTTTTCTAGTCTAAAATTATTTAAAAATTAAAATAAATTAAGTGATAGAAATATACTTTTTTAAAAAGTTCTAGACAATACTGAATTGTATTCAATAAACATAAATCTTTTAAAAAATTATTAATATGTTAAATTAGATTTTTCTTTGCTTCATCTTTTTCTGCACTAGAGCCCCAGTACACCTAAATAGGAGAAAGCTCAGGGGCCTGCACATAGTTTAAAATTAGCTTTGAAGAAACATAAAAATTCTGAAAAGGTACATCAGAACCTTTGAAACAGGGGTAGGAACTGTTCCAGATTAAGTTTTTTAATAGACAGCATTCTGGGCTCAAACACATTTTTTAAAACCACTGGAAAAGTCAAATGACCAAGGACTAGAGCATTGAAAGGCCTACATTCAAAGTCAAGTTCTCACACTTGTACATGGGTAAACAGAACCACTTTGAGGCATCTAGTCCCTTGCTGGTTAACCGGAGACACTGCAAATACTGACTTCACAGGACTGTTATAAGAATTTCCTGAATAGTGACTCTTATGGACTGCATGTTTGCATCCTTCCCAAATTGATACGTTGAAATTCTAACCCCCAATGGGATGGTATTAGGAGGTGAGTCCTTTGGGAGGTCAGTAGGTTTAGATAAAGTTATGAGGTTGGGGCCCCCATGATGGGCTTAGTGCCTTATAAGAAGAGAAAGAGCTCTTGCCTTTCTCTATGAAAAGACATGTGAAGGACACTGCTAGAAGAGGTCATCTGCAAACCAGGAAGAGGGCCTTCACCAAGAACCCAACCCTGATGACATCCTGATTACAGACTTTCAGCCTCCAGAACTTCAATAAATAAATTGTTGTGTAGTCAAGTAGTCAAGGGTGTCCTGTTATAGCAACCTAAACTAAGACAGAAACTGTAAAAATCACATTTTGTTCATATATATTAGATACTATTAATAAAAACTACAAAGATAATACATAAAATGTTATTTGAAATATAGGTCTGAGTGAAAAGTAGTCCTTTATTAATTTTGTGGCTGCTGCTTTTCCCTGCAGATCTGTGAACCCTGGGGATAACAAAGTGTATCTGGCTCTTCTGACTTGCATAGAGCACATGGTCATATTTCTCATAATCTGTCAACTAATGAAAACAACTGCTGGGATTTAGAAGCTTCTTACTCAAATCGACTATGATAGACTGCTAAAACCAAGTCTCAATGTTTCTAATAAATGTCTGAAGGTAACTGTAAGATGGTAATTAATTATAGAGAGGCTCTGGCACTATCGCATACTCTGCATTTATCATCACTGCATCACTGGAATAACATGATGATGCTGATAGATTAGCCTCATTACCTATGCAAAGTGATACCAAACCCCAAGAAATCTCTAACAGAGCCTCCAATAAAGGAGGTTTGCTCCAATTCCTTTCCCCAAAAAAAACTATTAATTTATTGACAATCAACCAAATAATAGTGATAATTTATTGGATGCTTTGCCTTGTTTTTAAAAGTGAGCCACTGCTTTATTTTCACCTAACACAAATATGAAAGCATTTTTCTTCTCAGGTATGTAAGTAATGCAGTATGACATTTTGTTTTAGACACCCCCAAAACAATCTTCTGGTTTTACGCCCATTTCTCTGGCCACCCTTTCTAGTATTCTTTGTGGGTTATTTCTCCTCAACTCATCTTAAAGATTATTTTTCTAACAATTTCAATGTCTATTCCCTCTTGACCTTACACATATTCTCTGATGAGAAGACCTGTCTATAAGCTGCCTCTTCCTACTGTGGACACTATCATCATTGCTTAAATTATTACAACAGCTTCCTAACTAGTCGCTGTACTTCTGGTTTCTTTGCAATCCATTTTCTGCATAGCACCCAAAAGTGATCTTTCTCAGGTTAATCCCCTGCTTAAGCCCTTTAAGGGTTTCTCACTATCCTAGGGGTGAAGTGCTAACTCTTTGTTACCTTCGTGATCTCTGCTTAGCTCTCCAGGCCCAGATAGTAACCATTTCATCTGTTACCAATGCATTCCACAGTCTTGCATATTTTTGTCCTATCCAATTTCTCCATAATTGGAACTTTGCATTGCATCAATGGTGCCTAACATTGGTTGGGAATATTAAGTGCCAGTAAATAATTGTTAAATGGTGAATGAAAAAATGAATGAATGAAAATATCTTTATAAATATCTTTATAAAACGAAAATATCTTTAAATAGTAAAATTTAACTAACATTTAAATTCAAATATAAAAGATATTAATAATTGGATACTATACTACATTAATAAAGAAAGGGAAATAAACATTAAAATGATCATCTTAATGCCATATTTTTGAATAGGTTTTAAAATATTTTTAAATGATATATTTTACTTTGAACCTATTACTAAAAGAATGTAAAATTTTATTTCCTGCCATGCAAACTTGAATGGTTTCAGGATAACTTAACCTATTTTGACATCCATGTGTCAAAATAGTGTGGCATGGGCATTTGTATAACTGCATAGTTGAACAAACCCTCTGCCTATTCAGTTTTATAGGGGAAAATTTTTGTGCTTGCTTCATGAGAAACTTAAAGAAGTTATTCAAGAAATGAAAAACAGCTTCTTGATGGAATACCAAGCAATGTCTCCTCTACTTATATGGCATTTCTATAGAAATATGAGCAGATTCTGCCAGCATTTCAGGAATCTGTATGAAAGTGTTAGAGTTTTCATTTGTTTCCCAGGAAAGTTTCTTAGCACAAAAGGCTACTGCCAAAGTCAGTGAACTGCAAATTACGGTTAACTGCTCTCTATTTTCCTCTTCAGAGACAGGTAGCAGGCATCCAAATTCTTATCCAATGACCCTCTCTCTCATTTTAACTCATTCTAAACTAACGACTTTCAATACCATAAGTAGAGAAGGAAAAAGTGAGAAAAACTGTACAATCTAACCTGTAATTGCTGCCCTAGTAGGAATATGGAATGGGAAATTGTATTCCTTCGATAGCTGCCTCACTATTTTTCCATCAATAAGCATTTATACTCATTATTGAAGACATAGATCCCTTTAATAATTTCTTAGCCATTATCACTTTAGTTTTTAATAGGTGAAAGCATGGGCTCATATTCTACTTGTGTGAGTCATTGTAATGCAAAGGCTACAACCTCAAACTATATGATATATATAAATGGGGCAGAACATAGACAAGAAGCATGTCAATTATAAAGTAAAAAGACATCAAATTTGAGAACACATGGACACATGGAAGGGAACAACACACACTGGGGCCTATTGCGGGGCAGGAGGGAGAGCATCAGGAAGAATAGCTAATGGATGCCAGTCTTAATATCAAGGCGATGGGTTGATTTGTGAAGCAAACTAACATGGCACACATTTACCTGTGTAAAAAACTTGCACATCCTGCACATGTACCCTGGAACTTAAAATAAGAGTTAAAGCAAAATAAAAAGACATCTAGTTGACAGATCCCTTCCAGTAAGAGCCCTACCCTCTATGTATATACTAAAAGATTTAGAATCTAGTTCTGTTACAGGATGGTTTACTAAAAAGTTCTGCAGTCTAACCACCTCTATAGTGTTAATGACTTCTGGTCTCAAATTCTTTTCCTAGGTAAAATTCTGATACTCTGTGAAGTGTAATCAGACAACATTTCTTCGTGTTGTTGTGTAAAATTTAACCCCATCTTGCTTCTATATTTGAAATTGATTTTCTTGTTGGAGTGCAATTGCATTCAGCGGAAAAGTATTTCCAGGTAAACAATACATGGTTCATCACCATAGCTACACTAGTTAGATCATATGTCTATCATGTTGTGTTTATTATAGGCAAAGCATTTAAAGAAGAAATTGGGCCAGGTGTGGTGGCTCATGTCTGTAATCCCAGCACTTTGGGAGGCCGAGGTAAGAGTTTTACTTGAGGTGGGAAGTTCTAGACCAGCCTGATCAACACAAAGAGACCCCATTTCTACAAAACTAAAAAGTTAGGTGGGCGTGGTGGCTGTGCCTATAGTCCCATCTACAGGCTGAGGTCAGAAGATCACTTGAGCCCAAGCGTTCAAGGCTGTAGTGAACTATGATGATGCCATTGCGCACCAGCCTGAGCAACAGAGTAAGACCCTCCCTCTTAAACAAAAAACAAAACAAAACAAAACAAAAAACAAGAAATGGATAAATATAGAAGTCTCAATAAGGTGTTAAAGAGTATAAAAATTATGTAATATGAGGAGCTCTTAACTGCTTGAGCATAGGCGCCATTACAGCGGGGTCTGTATTTTTCACCGTAATATAACCAATGTCTAGAATATCCCTTCACATATAATACATGCTCAGTAAATATCTGTTTAATAAATTAACAAATGAATATGACTGAAGAACTGGAAAACATATAACTTAAGACTACAAAAGCTGTCTTCAAAAAGTTAAAAGCTATAGAGTGGAATATAAAATATTAGACATCTTTTGTAGGGCTCCAGATAACAAAACTAGAACCAACAAGATAGAAATCACAGAAGAATTTCTAATAACTGAAGCTAGAATGAGCTATCAAGTGATGGGGTTTAAGGCACACTACCCCCAGTATATGGCACTTTGGCATTTGAGAAAACAGCAAAAGCAGGAGAGTTTCTCTGACCTTCTCCTACCTTTCTCCCCTGAAGCAGGCCATAAAAGAATTATCTGATCTTCTTCTAAAGTAGGTCCTGAGACCCTTATTCAAGAGGTACCCTCCCAATACCCAGCTGAAAGAAATGTCCTTATCTCTGAAGACACAGGGATGCAGAGAAAAATCTAAACAATGAGGCCTTGCTAAGTCCTCCTGGCCCTGGCCCTGGCCCAACTTAGTACAATTAGATCATACCTGCTTTGTCCAATTGTATTTCACAACTATCCGCTTCTTCACTAAACTTAGTATAAAATACACAGGCTTCTCTGTATTCTGTTTCTTAGGGTGTTTATTTCTGAAGGTTTCCATGTCACATAAAACTTACATCAAATAAATTCATATGTATTTGTTTTCTTAATCTGTTTTTTTATTATAGGTGTCTCAGCTATGAATCTTGAGATAGATAAGCAAAAGATATTATTTTTTCTCTCCTATGCAAGAAAAGAAGATAGAAATTTTCTTTTTTGAGAATTTAGATTACATTGTCTAATATTCTTTCATTTTTAATATTGTCTTTAATATTCTTTAATTTCTTTCTTGGAAGTTTAGATTATATTGTCTTTAATATTCTTTAATATTCTTGTCTTTAATATTGTCCTTAATACTCTATATTGTCTTTAATATTCTTTGGAAACAATATTAAAATACAAAGAATACATTTGTTTTTCAGTTTTTGTTTCTTTTGTTTTGCTGATTACTAAAGCTGCTGTTCTAATTCTGTAAAACTGGCAATATTTGTGTAGTTTTCATCTGTCATTTACAGAACTGTGCATATTCATAAGGGAAATCCATCCAACAGTAACCAAAATAATTAGTCATTTTATCTGAATAATAACAGTTCCTACCATAACATATCAAGGACCTGGTGATACATTTTCTTCAAATTAAAAGATAATAAATATTTATCTGTTATCTGGCTGAGGAAGGCACAGAGTCAAGACTAGAATTTATAAAGTAGCATAACTAACCAGATTTATTTATTTTTTTAAATCTAAAACTTGGCCGGGTGCAGTGGCTCACACCTGTAATCTCAGGACTTTGGGAGGCTGAGGCGGGTGAATCACAAGGTCAGGAGTTCGAGACCAGCCTAGCAAACATAATGAAACCCCATCTCTACTAAAAAAATTAAAAAATTAGCCAGGTATGGTGGCGTGTTCCTGTAGTCCCAGGTACTCAGGAAGCTGAGCGAGGAGAATCACTTAAACCCAGGAGGCGGAGGTTGCAGTGAGCCGAGATCACACCACTGCACTCCAGCCTGGGTGACACAGCAAGACTCCATCTAAAAAAAAAAAAAAATTCTGAAACACTATTGCAGAAAAATAAAGTTTTGTTCTGGAAGATGCTGTTAATTTTACTTTAAAATTAGAATCTGGTGCTTCTGTTTTTATCGTTTTCAACAAAACTTCTTAAGTGTTAAAAAAAAAAAGAAAAACAACGTATATAATACATATTACAAAAGTTCTTATATCCTTAACTTATAATGTACTCCTATATAACAATATAAATGGAAAATTGGGAAAATACAAATAGGCAAAACATAGATTATATGCAAATGGTCAATGAACACTCCAAAAGATATTCAGAGCTTCTAATAATAAAGTATTACAAATGAAAACAAAAGGAGTCTTGGGTCTAGGATGTTCACCCATCACAACAGCAAAATAACAAGAACAAGGTATTGGGTTTGACTGGTGAAGCAGAGCCTCTATACAGGGATTGGACTTGATGTGATTGTGTGAGCTGGTTAAACAGCCTAAGTGAGTTACCCCAAGCCTGTTGCCGAGTCTGCCTGTAGTCAACAGGGCTGGCAATCAAAAGGGAAGATGAATGTGAAAACAAGAAAATGCTACAATTCATGAGGATGAGCGGGAACCTACAGCTCTCTCCAGAAAACCAGAAACCCCATTGATCTCTCACTGTTTCCAAACCTCCAGTTTTGATGATGGGTTGTCCGGGAGGAATAATGGTATACTTCCTCATAGAACTTAACACACATCTATCAGTAGTCAGAGAAACAGGAGCTGGAGGGTCTACGGACCAAGCTGATGCTGCCCTGCTCCATTGGGGTGCCAGCAGAGCCCAGGCAGCAAATGTGAGCTGCAACAGCGTCTAACAAAACAGGACTGCTGCCTCACTTTCCTCTTCCAAAGGGCACACAGATTTCTCTTGTGGTCAGCCCTAACCCATGCCATGCAGGAAAGGGGATTCTGGGAAGCATTATTTCTAGCTAAGCTACACACTACAAAGTCATCACCAATAACAGTAACAGTTAATGGTGATAACAAACATTCATTGAGTGCTTTCTATAGGTCAGAGATGAGTCTCAGTCTCAAAAGTAATTCTTTGAAGTAGTTATGGAATTATTCTTGCACCTTTCAGATATGGAGAGTGAAACACAGAAAAATTGAACGTCTGAGACAGTTTGATCTCAGAGCTGTAATTTTAACCCAAATTCATTATTATCAACCAGATTTGATAAGGATGTGGACAAAGAATTTTCATATGATAGAAGGAGGCTGTTAGTCATGTTTGCATTTCAATTTGCCAGAAGCAGTATGTATTTTAAGCAGGGCTTCAAGGTGAAAATTAGACCTGGCGATGATCTTGGGTATTCTAAATATCAAACACATTCAGCCATAGCCTCTACAATTTATATTGTGGTGGAGGAAAGGTAAGCAATTATTTAACTAGGGTAAAAAAATTCCTACAACATATTTTTATTCTAATGATTTAAAAAGTACTACAATATTTTACAAGCTTTGAGATTCCCACACTTTGTAACTAGAAGGCTGCATTCCTAGATGATTACAAAAAGTTTTGTAGTTAAGCATTGAATATCCCAGGATGAGATATCCAGAGTGAATCTGTTCGGTAAGCATAGCAAGAGAGAGACAGATCCTATTAAATTTAATAAAGCCTTCCCCAACCTGTCTAGTCCTGGAACAATATTCTCATGCCACTGGGTTCCCTGGTCACAGGAGGCATTTGAAAATAAATGAAAGTGTTTTCCTTTGTCACAATGACACTGCAGAGCGCTTAATAGTCAGAGCCAAGATTATAAATTCCTGAAGGACACAAACTAGTCATACAACTTGTAAGTGTCCTGCCCAAAATGCCAGTAGCATCCCAATGAGAAACATCTAACCATCTCCTGCTTGTCTAACTGAAGGGTGCAATTTCAACTCCATGTTTAAATCCACAAGGTTTCAATAGTAAATCTACTATAGTTTATAAGGTTTTTAACCTATGCTGTAAAATTATTTCCACTTGTACAAAATACTACTAGGCAAACACAATCTTATATGGCTTTTTTGGAGAAAAAACAATTCTGTACTCCCAAATACAAAATAAGCCTACATATCTTTTAATGTATCAATTTCTCATATGCATAAATTTACCCTAAGGAAAACCTAAACAAATGTGTACAAAAATGAAGCTGCAAGAATTGTTTATTGGAACATTGTTTATGAGAGCAAGCAGTTAATTATCTTTAGAACAATTATTAAAGTATTAGTTAAATAAATTGTGGCATATCTAAGCAATAGAATACAAAGCAGTCACAAAAAGAGACAGAATCTGCTATACATACTTATATAATATACTATGTTTAAAAAGTAGATTGCAAAATAGTATATATTTATATGTACTGTTTTATAATAACAATTATAAATGTATCCCAGACTTCAAGAATTTTATACGCAAAATTAAAGGTCTTTGTATATACTATTTCCAAAATGTAAATACTACATTATCATTTATTAAATTTGTAGTATCGGTAGTATTTACTTTGAACAAAATGTAACTGGTATTTATATTTTTAGGTTGAACCCAGTTGCATTTATAAAGTAAGTTAATATTAATATTCAAAGGTATATTATAAATGCTTAAAGTAAAATACAGTGATCTGCATTCTTTTTCATATAGAAGTCCTGCAAGTAAACATACTAAAGTGACCTGCTTTCCACGATTGACTCCGCAGATGCATATACCAATGCTGACATTTTTATTTCTTTTTTTCTATGTTAGTAGCAATTGGCAAGGCTCCAGAAAATGTAAACAAAGGCAAGAATAGAATTGTAATCTTTGAGTATTTCTGTACAGAAGTACCTTGATTTAGAGTCCATTTTTTATGTCTTCCCTCAGCCAGCTTTCAACCATCTCTTTTCACTGTAATTGCCCAAAATACTGTCATTGTTTTCCAGTCTTGCAAATCACTTTCATTTTTCTTGTAACCTCTTCAACTCTCTCAAATACCATATTTCATTAAATATAAGATGCCACTGATTGTAAGACACCACTACTTAATGTAGCACTAAGAAAGAAATAAAAGTTGCCAATTAAACACAAAGATTTATTGCCAACAATTTTTACTCTAAAGGTTCTTTTAGACTTATTTAAGGATAAATTTGTATCCTATATATCACTCCTGTGCAACTTAAAATATGTAACAGAAGTGAGGTAAATTGGCTAAAGAACTTTTTCAATTATCTTCATAATTGGCCTGCCACTTCTGACTCCCTTTTGAACTCAGCCCTGTAGAGGTCCCTGTTTTTCTACCCAATGCAATCTCTGTGCCATTAGGATGATGGGTGGTACATTTCACAGAAGAGTGCCCCCTTCTGTCTCAGAAATTTTCTTTCAAGCCAGTAACAGCTATTTTGCAAGTTTTGATGCTGGTGCTTTTTTGATCTTGCAAGAAGATGCCAATAAAAGGCTTTAAGACAACAACCAAGACACATATTTCTTCCTTATTTGATTGGTCGACTGCATCATTGATGGGCTGTAGCTGTCCAGTCATGACAGCAGGAACCAAGTCTGTGCTTAGGCAGGCAGTCACAACCATCACAAAAGCTGCCCAGCTCTCTGCAATGGCAAGATGCCATCAATGGTAAGATGTATATCTATTAAATGTTAATATTAAATTATCATGTTAAATGTTAAATAATAAGACACATCTCTATTAACTATTAAAATGCAGACATATATGCTCCTTGGAATCAATGAAATGTAGCACTAGTATTATGATTTTATAAATAGGACATCTCCATAATTGGCCTGCCACTTCTGACTCTCTGTTGAACTCAGCCCTGTAGAGGTCCCTGTTTTTTGCCCATAAAGTCACATTGCCCATAAAGTCACATTGCCAGTAAGTGATCAAGCAAGGGATAAAATCTAGGTCTCATAAAAAAAAAAACAAAAAACAAAAAACAAAAAAAAACTGTGTTTCAGGTCCCACATCTGGTACTCAATGGGTGAAACTTTGGCCTTACCCCCTTTTAATTTTAAGAATTCTTATTGACTAGATTTATGTGAGTTATTCCTCTCCGTGGCCCCCACCACCCCAACCATCCTCTGCTCTATTTCTCTACTAAAATGTAATTCCTTTCCAATAGACACTTTACTTCATATTTACCACTTCTAATTTTTCTTCTGGGTGGGAAAAAAGTACACAATCATGTATAAGTCAGAATAGCACTTTTAACTGTAAACAGCACGTGAGCTTTAACGTATTGCCTGGAGTTTTCCATTTAGTCTCCTCAAGAGGTTTTCTTTTAGTTTCTTTTTCATCTCTAGCAATTTTCTAGATGGCTGCAGATGCCCAATGCACGTGCTACAGATAAATTTAGCAGCTTACTGACATATTCTTTAATTTCTAAATTTTATGTATTTTTAGTCCTATAATTCTTTGCTAATTTCGGCTGTACTATAAAATTTCTCATCTCTTGAGCCATTCAAGACTTACTGGAAACAACTACTATCACTATTCCAGGATACTTACTTTTGCCTTAATTTTAAACAACAGAAATGGACAGATAAATACCCATAATTTATGAACCTTAGAAAAACAGAATTTTAAGTATGAGGTTATTTCTATAATTTTCTATATAAGCAAATAAAATATCACATATCGTAGTCATTTTAATTTTTAATTGCTTGGCTCTCAATTTACTGTGTATTTTCTTTCAGGATTGATATGTATATTTAGTTATATATGTATATATTCAGATATATATATATATATATATATAAACTTTTTTAACCACTAATGAATGTTCCCTTTGCCCTGGAGTTGCTTAACAAGGTATAATAAAGCTTGTCTAAACAGAACATTGGATTAAAGAAAGCTACAGGGTTTTTATTCACACTGAAAAAGAATATTACAAAGGAAAAAACATGAAGAAGATATTTATCCCAAATCCAGATTTGGCCAGATCTGTCTTATGTAGCAGAGAGATCTTATCTACCCTGTCAATTTAGTTCTGCTGGAATGGCCATTTCTTTTTTCATTTGTCAGCTACCTTCAGTTATTAAGATGCCTCCCTATTCTTAAATTATTGATTGGCTGCTTGCCTATTTTTTATGTTATTTTCATCAACCTGCATGCACAGTTTGATTATTAGTATATCTCATGGAGGTTTTATCCTTCCTCTTGAAATGAAATGCTAATAAATTGAAAACTGCCTGCTGCTAAATCTGAAGGTGTGGTGTTTTGACAGAAGCCCCAGAGCATTATAATTTATAGATGGTGGCTCCTCTTTATACACACCACACATATTTGACATCCTCGCCTTGACATTTATGCTTTAACAGATGGGGCCTCTTGTTTAACAGTAAAGAAAAAAAAAAAACTCAAGTCACATTTTGGGCCATTCTACTTCTCTGGATAAAACACAAAACAAAGAGTGCAAAGAATAAGAACATGTTTTAATCATCCAGGAAGCGCACCATGGATCTTTTGTGCTGTCAGTTGTATTGGCGTCCTTGACACACTGAGAGCACCTCCTCATTACCTTCTATGTGGAATTAAACAACAGCTTTTCTGTCTAAAGCATAGTACTGGAACTGAAGTAATGTGATTTCATCCTGTCCTAGTCTAACTTATGGGAAAGGGCTCTCATTCCAATATTAGGTTATTGTTTTCAGTTTTATTTCATTTACTATCTCCAGAATCTATTCTTCTACCCTGCCAAATCCATATTCCCAGCTTCCTACAAACACCTCTACTGAATGTATGACTGGTGTCTCAAGCTCAGTGTGTTCAATCTGGATTTAGTCATCGCTATAATCTGCTTGATTTCTGTGTTCCCCATTTCACAATACAGCTCATCACTTATCCAGTTGCCCAAGTAAGAAATTCCTCACTAAGTCCTAACTTTACTACCTCCTTAATACCCCTCAAACCTGCTCTCAAAGTTCCATTTCTATTGCCAATGTACCAGTCCAGCTCTTGTCAGCTCTTGACTGAATTATTACAAAGTGTCCTTCTTTCCCCTTCACTGATTCTTTACAAGCTCTGATTCTGCCAGAGCGATAGCCAAATGCATAAATTGGATCACACTATTCCACTGCTTAACATCTTTCATGCCTCACCTTTAGCTTCAAGAAATGCAACATCATACAAGATCTTCCAGAAACAGAATCTTATCTTTTTGTGCAACTTTACCACTCGACATACCTCCAATGCCACACATGCCTCTTTTTCTCATGGCTCTGTGCCTTTGCACATGCTCTGTTCTCTACCCACACTGCCCTTGGTCTGCATTCTTTACCTGGGTGGTCCCTATTTCACCTTTCATTCTTCACTCGTGTGATCCCCATTCAGCCCCTAGCTCAAGTCAATCTGAGCCTTGATGCTTAATAGACATTCATTCTTTGTGTTGCAATCGCAAGTTCAAGTCAGTCTGAGACTTGATGCTGAATAGATACTCATTCTTTGTGTTTGCAATCACAATATACCTGTAATAGAGGAGTCATTACATGTTATCATAATTATCTTTCTCTCCTCATAAGCAATTGCTTAAGAGGAAGAAATTCATTTAATTTCTGGACCCCCCCATACCTACCACATAATAAATGCTTGGTAAGTCTTTGTTGAATACTTGTCTGATTGCAACTGTCAAATTATCAAAATTTAGTCTATTAATATATTCAGTGTCTATCTTTTATTGGAAAATGTGGCTTCAGAAAACTTGGCTTTTGTTGCCAATTCAAATGGACTCAGAAGTTGAATAATAACAACTCAAAAATAATAAAAAGGTCAAAGTGAAAATAAAATAAAGAGAAATATCTGATGATACCATAAACCAAAATCATGAATTTTCTTTGAGAACAATTTTACTTATTCTATTTAAAGGTGTTTTTAAGTATATTTTATTGGCCTATTCCTGGAGTTGATATTTGGTTTTATATTTGAATTTAAAATATTAAGAATATAAGATTCGGTAAACTCAGAGCAAGTACAGAAACAAATGTAACCTATTACATTCAGCAACCATTTTTCCGCCTTCTGGATTTGCAAAGATTAACGTGGATTTTCAAAGATTTATATGTAACAAAATTTGCATCCAATAGCTTAATGGTCCAGTCAGACAAAGAGAGAGCAGGAAATACAATGCGTCTGAATTTTAAGGGCATTTGTAATTTACATTTCACCTTCCACAAGCATCAACAAATAGGTCTGAAGCTGTGACTCCCAGCTACCTTCATACATCATCTCAGCTGTACTTAGAGTAACCTCAAAGGATGTCATGAAACTTTTAAACAATCTAAAGTAGAAATTCACTTTCAGGTTAAAAATAGAGATCATGTTTTAGGTTCTGTCTAGAAGATTGCAAAACCTAACAGTGATTTGAGAATATGATAGCAAACCTACCTAGAAACTCAAACTGAAAATGCTGTGTGAAGTAAAAAGGCCAATCAGGAAATGGGAAAGATTTCACTGTTTCATTTTCTAATATGTTACATTATGTATTGATTTTAATGTTTCAGATGAGATCTGAATAGTCACAACAAGCACAAAATTTATAATTATGAATATGCTTCTATAATAAGTAATTCTTAATATAAATACTTTGATATACAGAATAGCTCAAAGCTATTTCAATACAGAGATAAGTGGAGCACAGAAGAATAAATTATGCATGTCTTCCTTATCAAATGTTATAGATAAATAGTAAGAATCTTAATTATTCCTTGTAGATTAGAAAATAAAAACCAATGTGTTAAACATTTCAGTATATTAAAAGAAATTAAAGATGCACTAAGTAATTATCAGGGAAGCATCATGTACATAAAATATACATAATGGAAAGCTAGAGAAATGGTTGAAGTCTCTTGGAGCAAATTAACATATCCTGAAATTGACATGAAAGACAGAAAATTAATTCACTATACAAATACAATGATAGATAGAAAATGAAACTACTTTTAGTTACTATGAAATAACAGAATTTTTAAAAACAATATTATCGGCCATAAAAATCTTTCTGGAGAGTAAGTGAAATACATATTGCCTTGAAAAGTACATGACTTTGAACACACAAATTCACATCTATGACTTGAATCTAGTTAAATTTTTGGTAAAATATCCAAATGTGTTCAAAGAAGGATATTTACCATTTATCATGACGAAAACTGAAACCGGCCTAAGTTCCAACAATAGATTATGAATACACTGTAGTATATACATACAACAGAATGTTACTCTATCATTAAAAGGCAACCCAAAATGTATATTTGTTTATTCAAAATACACTTCTTGAATGTTTACTGACTGCAAAGTAGTTGGGCATAGTTCTTGGGCTAAGGTAAACAAAGCAGACAATGCTTATTTACAAGAGAAGTCAAATTTATTTTCGAGTGAAAAAATACCAGTATGTATAGTCTCATCCCTTCACCTCATATTTAGATAGATGATAGATAGATAGATAGATAGATAGATAGATAGATAGATGTTAATATACATTACATATGTGCATGTGCGTAATAATAAATCTTGAGAGAAATATAGTAACTTGTTAACGAGAGCTTTCTCTAGGAGGGTTTCCTTTAACATCTCTATAATTTTTAGTTTTCTACAATCAATGTGATTTATTATTTATGAAGAAATAATCAACTTTAAAAAAAGTTTACCATGCAATATATAGGCCAAGGTTAAATTGGGTTAACTAAGTAGGCAGAATCATATGAAATAAAAGTGAATAAAGTGAATAATATATTTAGAGTTTGATAACATATGTAATTGATGAACATAAGTAATATAAGTCCTGCTATAGTAGTAGTAATAACGGCAGCAGTAGCAGTAAATTCAGTATTGGCTCAGTGTCTGCCACTATCCTAATTTCTTATGGGTATCAAATCCTTTAATCCTGATAACAAACTTCTTGGTAGGTACTGGTGCTATCCCATTTTACAGATAAATGCACTGTGACAGAGCAAAGTTAAATAATTTTCTCATGCTTACAAAACTGGTGAGTGATAAAGGCAAGACTTGAACTCAAGCAGCCTGGTTCTGGAGACGGTGCTGAGCTGCTGTTCATCCTGCTTCTCTGTAAACAAATGTTCAATCTACTTAACAGAAAATAAAACCATGCACCCAAAAATAATGCAACTAATCAAGAAAGGAAAGTTTAAAACTGTTGACATTTAAAATGCTGCTACATGAGTATACAGGAAGTAGTCTTAGAAATTAAAACAATTCTAGACTCACAAAGTTGAAATCAGTCTTTAAAATTTATGAAATCATGGAATCTAATGTAAACACAGGTCATGTGGAATCTAACGATAATTTCAAAAAACAAAACACCTCACATCCAATGCAGGGATCCCTTCCTGAGGAATATTTGCATGCAGCCAGCCTGTCCTCTTGTTTATTTCCAGTAACAGAGTCAGCCTATTTCACCTAATTTTCTAATTCCAGCTGGAGAGTTCTAATCTTCAGAATTTTCTTAAATTGTGCAAAACCTCTTCTTCCATGTAACTTCTTGACATTAAACCCAGGTGTGTCTTAAAAGAACAAAAATGTACTATTGCTCCAATATAATGGCACAATCTCATAAATACTTGAGAATAACTATCTTGGGTATTTCCCTATGCCTTTTTTTCACACTAAATGTCTTTAAAGTTCTTTCACAAATGCAACATCTGCTTAGGGAATATATTCTCTGCACCAGACACTAAAGAAACAAAGACAAATAAGAAAGCTATTGTTCCTCAATAACTTGCATCTGAGAGTGGGAAAACATTCTACCAGAGTGTTTTAGGCCCTATCACAGGCCAGGAGTGGTGGCTCACTCCTGTAATCCCAGCACTTTGGGAGGCCAAGTCGAGCAGATCGCTTGAACCCAGTAGTTCAAGACCAGCCTCGGCAGCATGGCAAGACCCTGTCTCCACTAAAAATACAAAAATTAACCAGGCATGGTGGTGCGTGCCTGCAGTGCAGTCCCAGTTACTTGGGAAGCTATAGACCAGCCTCGGCAGCATGGCAAGACCCCGTCTCCACTAAAAATAGAGAAATTAACCAGGCATAGTGGTTCACGCCTGCAGTGCAGTCCCAGCTACTTGGGAAGCTGAGGTGGGAGGATCACCTGAGCCCAGGAAGTCAAGGCCACAGTGAGCTATGATAGCACCACTGTACTCCAGCCTGGGTGACAGAGTGAGACCCTGTCTCAAAAAAAGCCACCAAAACAACAACAACAAACGCTGTCACAGGAAAATTTGTGCATTGTTTTAAGAAATCAGAATCTATTCTTTCTATAACTTCCTCCTAATCTACCACCCTAATTAGTTATACGATCGAGAGAAAACAATGATGCTAAATTTGATACATTGCCTGGCATATGGTAGCTACTTGTGCTGGATAATCTTTGCCCTTCCAGATCAACTCTACAGGCTTATCTATCCTGCTTTGTGCCCTGGGAAGTAAACTCTAAAGGTTGCTTCAGCCAAGTTTTATTACATTCCAATTTGTACTTGGGTTTCGTCAATGGGAGAAGCCAATAAGAGAAAAGAGGATAGAAGGAGACAGAGGCTAAGGTATTTATTCTCTGTGTTCTGCCTGGTGGTCCAAGGTTTGGCAGTGGCTTTCCCCCATACCTAAGGCCTCAGCTCCTTCTGGGACCCTTTCCGCATGGCTGCAGCTCTCACTGGATTCCAATATGTAATTGTTATCTTCCCTTGTCCTTTCTGGCCTAAGGATGGTAATGGCTTTCTGCTATTGCTAGCGAACTCCTGAGTGTTTCACTATTACCATTGGTTCCCTGAGCCCTGCCCACGATTTGTAAACAGTCTCTCCAGTGAAGTCTTTTCAGTTGCCCTTTGGAGTGTGCTATCTCTTGCTGAGACTTCAATAGATATAACCCTCAAAAAAAGTTTGTTGAAAAAATTTAGACTATGTTTTTCTTAGCGATCTCATGCTTTATGATCACTATCAGGCATCTCAATATTTTCTGGAATAAGACAGGGCAGTCAGGAATAACAGGAAAAAGGATGAGGGGGCAGTTTATTTTCCTAACCATTGGAATTATTTTACCCATCTTCAACCGAGTGAGCTGTTTCAATCTTCTCCCGGTCAATTCTGTTTTGACACAAAAGGCTGTCTTCAGGATGCAATCTCCAATGTGTTAAATGCATTTTTCTTCTTCTGGGATTCTAGATCCGTTCATTTCAAATAGCTTTAGAAGTATTATAGCATGTTCTATTGAGCAAACGCATTAAAGAAAATAAAATTTCCTCAAGCCTCTAGGTGGATAATACAATATCTCAGCTGACTTTGCCACTGCGTAATGTCAGGTATTTGCTTCCTGACATATAGGTTTTATTTACCTCGAGAACTTCTAAGAAAGTTTTTTGAACTTACTTAAATTATCTTTCTATAGCCAGTAATCTTAGGCACTAAAATTTTGGAGGAAATAATTTTTTTTCTCAAGTTGGTAAATTAATAAAAGGAAACGTGAGCTCTTTTGGGTATTTTCTTTAGGAAATGTGGAACATGGCAGTCCTTTTGGTGGGAAATCATGCTTTGTGAGTAAAACATATTTAATTTTTATTAGGAAAATAAAGAGAGGGGATCTTTTCATTTGCATTTTATCTCGTCCATTGGCCTATAAACTTTAAGTTTCTAGGGAAAAAATCTATGCTGAAAAAGTCTAAAACATAGTAAAGTCCTTTTGTAGTGGACACATCACTTTGCTAGCCACATCTAGCTCCCCCTTTCAGATTAACCTATGCTTCTCTTTTCCAACCTCAACATAAAAGAAATTCAGTTGACTAATGCATTTTTATTTTCTTTTTTTCAAAAATACCCTTACAGGAAGAAATAACCCATTAGAGGCACTGTTCTGATTGTCATGAAGCATCACAGAGTTTTCTGTCCATGGCCTAGAAAATTAATTTTTAAAAGAAACTTTTGTAGAATGGATTGGGGAAATAGTTTTATCTGGTAAAAAGCATTGCTATCTAGCATTCAATATAGTATCCCTGTGGAGTAAGCTTTCATCAGAGAGTCTCAGCTAGAATAAAAAATAGAACATTTTCATTTGGAGGCCCCAAAATTGGATTTAGTGCTTTAGAAATAGATATAGACAGATGCATTTTCTAGCACAATGGTTTTCCAGATAATTTCTGAGGAAGCTTTCAGACCTAGGACTCCATTATCTAAGTATTTTTAGACCTTGGGGATATTCAGGAGAGCAGCAGCAATGTAAGGGCTAAAAACAAGAAAGGCATGGGATGTATTCTTTGGTTATGGTTAGACTGCCAGCACTCTGGCTATGGGCTGAATGGCTTACCAAAGAGACTTATCAGTAATACAGCAAAAAGGTAGATGGGTTTTACCAATGAGAGTTTTTCTTCTGAAACCTCAGAAATAAACGACTATACAGACATCTATATCTATCTATATACATACAATTTTTCCTACATATAGTTTCAGGAATGCCTTAAATTTGTGTTTTTAATAAAGATAAAACTACAAAGAAATAGCATTTTTTTCATCACCTCCTTCTTAGTTGCTTCCAAAATTAATGATTATAGGTTATTCCAAGGCAGTGGATTAAAATGGTGTAAGAGGTATGCAGCAAAAGTGACGAGGGACTAAGAAGAAAAATCAGTCACAATTAGCTTACAATTAAGTGTTTAAATTACCGTGTGTGTGTGTGTGTGTGTTTGTGTGTGAGCGTGTCTGTGTATTTCCCCCTCTTCTACAGCTTCTCTTTCAAATGGTTGCCATATAAACTGTGAGGTTTAGAAGACTGAAGCCCTTGAGATCCACAATGCTTACTGGGTTAAGACTATGCTAAACTTATGCAAACTGCAGCTGGCAACTGTCCTTGGAGTTGCTGTCCTTGAAGTCACGGTTACAGAAGCCTGCAAAGGCAAGCCCTGAAAAATTAATGGAAATAGATATTTCCAAGTGATTGTACTACAACAGTTATACTTTTTTTTCCATATTTGAAAGAATTACAATATGTCAAGGACAGAATGTGAGGTTTGCAGTTATCAAAATGTGTTTTTGTAAACACATAAGGAAAATAGAAAAAAAAATTCCTAAGATTTGAAATGAAGAGAAATAGTTACAGTCAGACATCACTAACGCCTGTAATCCCAGCACTTTGGGAGTCAAGGTGGGCAGATCACGAGGTCAGGTGTTCGAGACCAGCCTGACCAACATGGTGAAACCCCATCTCTACTAAAAATACAAAAATTAGCTGGGTGTGGTGGTGCACACCTGTAATCCCAGCTGCTCAGGAGGCTGAGGCAGGAAAGCTACTTGAACCTGGGAAGCAAAGGTTGCAGTGAGCCAAGATCACGCTACTGCCCTCCAGCCTAGCAACAGAGCGAGACTCGGTCTCAAAAATATATGTATTATATTAAAATAATAATAATAATTTATATTATTTAGTGTCTTGCTAAATGAGACTTTGGGCACCATTTTAATCATTAACTGAGTCTTCAAATGTGAATTTTCTTTAATACACAACTAACCTAACTTACCAAAGGATAAATTTCTGAATTATGTTCTACTTTCTTTCCTCTTTTTCCTTGTATAGCCAGCATCTGTCCAAGTTCTGCTCCTTCTACAAACAGAACATTTTCCAAATCTACCAACATTTTCTGCACAATTCACAGGCTCCTTCCCGAGTTGAAGTTTTTGTCACAGAATCAGGGATTCTTAGAATTTCAAGGATGTGAAACAACATCTAAATCAACCTGCGGTAGAAATCCCCTCTAGACCAGAGCATCTCTGACTGACAGCCACTCAGGCTCCACAGGAACAATTCTAATGAAAGGAGCAAGGGAACACGATCTAGTTCATGTGAGGCCTCTGTTGCCTACTAACTGGAATGCAAAATAATAATCAATTGATTATTATTTGTCAAATGAAAATAAAAACATCACCCATTTACCTAGACCCTTATGTGAAAACTCTTTATAACATACAAAAATGCTGCGAAATGTGGCATTATGATTTAGGTCATTCTTTATTATTTCACTGTCAACCTACTCCACTTCTGTTTATCTCTTATTATGATCAGTCTCTCTTCTTCCTTTCCCTAAAGCTTCACCTTGAACAATACAGAACAGTCCACAAGTGTTGTTGCCCCTGAACACCATGAATAGATAGATAGCCACATCAGTAACATTGGACATACCTACAGCATTAGTAAGGAATGCTATCTATTCGATAATAATGATCTGTTAACTTCAAAATCTTAATGGAACATTACAGATTGTGCCAATAAGTAGTTATCTCTTAGTTCCTAATTTCTTCTAGCTAGTTTCTACCCCTTTTAAGACCAAATGCGTGAATTTGAGATATGGTATGCTAAAACTGCTGCTGTAAAAGGTGTCCAGGCTACCATACCTTTGACTACTCTACCGAGGGCTACTTAAGCTCCACAGTACTCCATTTTCTATAACATTCAAACCACATATAATAGACATGTTTTTTCTAATCTCATATCCTCTTTTTTTGCTGCAACAGACAGTTTGGTAGACCTTTGCTAGAAGATTTGTGGTGATTTTCTTACCCAAACTTCCATTTCTAGCACTCCAATTGCCAGCATGTGTATACCCCTTGCTCCATAAAGCCTTCCCCATTGTCCATCACTATGCTCAATTCTCTCTGCACTCCCACAACATGATTTTCATCCCTTTGTCATAGCACTTACATTCTGTCTTACACTGTGGTGAGCCATTTCCTTGCCTGTCTTTCCTAATGAGTCATATGTTTCTTGGATGCTTGATGATGTGATGAATGAATGAGGTGAAGAACAAATGAATCATTTAATAAATGACAATTGAAATCATACTTCTGGTTTCTTTCACTGCTGTTATATTTTTAATATTTTCTGAGTCCTCCAAATAGGATAACATTCCTGATCCTGATTAATCAATCAAGAAATCTGTATTTATTTATTAGTTATCATTTTAATTTTTTTAAATATAATATTTCACAACAAATTCAATCTCAGAAAGAGCCTAAGGTTGTCTATTTGTTATGTGGGAATATCACTCAAGACACTGTTGAAAAATAACCTTTGTTCTGGAAATGGACTCTTGTTAAAGAGACATATGTTAATGCCATGTTTATCAGAGTTAGAGCATATAAGAGTTCATAGGATAAGTATAATGAATATGCCTGGATTATCAAACTTCATTGAAGATTTAGAAAAGACATATTTATAACCAAATAAACATGGAGCAATTCTATTTTTATATATTATGTTTTATATAATGTCTATAATAAAATAAACAGAGATAATAGAAGGGAAATTATATGTTATTTTAAAAATACCAAACATAAAAATATTGAAAATATGACAATCCCTTCAGACTAAGCTTCCAGCCCCTGGAAATTGGAATTCTTCATTTGTAGGAGAACTTTGGTAGGAAACTGTATATCCATAACAAAGAGAATCAAGATAGTTCTAAGAGCAAATGGATGACAAATAATTAGTACGTGGAAATACTGATACGATACACATGATTGCACAAGAGTATCTTATCCTCTTTGTTATCAATTTGTTGTTCCTCCTGAATTTGAACCTAGGGTTGATTTATTCCATAGATTTATTTACTCTCACTATGATGCAGGCACTCACCAGGCAATGAAAGCACAGGGATAAATATGACGTGGCCTCTTACCTTAAGGAACAAGTCAGTGATGATGGATATGCATGCAAGTGGCATAGGGATTATGATACAGTGAGGCCTAAGGAAGATGGCAGTCAGAATAATCTTCCTGAAACAAATAGGTATGCATTGTACTTTAGGATTTTAAAATTGAGTAAATTATAAAAAAAAAATTCTAAAGTCAGCCTGAGAGATATTTTTCCAAGTTTCCAAAACTATCTGTATATTATAAATATTCAATAGTTGATCTGTTGCAGACAGGATTCTCTAAGGATATTCAGACATGACCTTCATTTATTTTGTGTTCTGGCAGCAGTAACAAAGCTTCGATAGCCACTAAGAGCCCCTGGTTCCACTATAGCAGCAATGCTGGCTTCTTAGGAAAGCCATGGACCATTGAGAGAAAGGATTTTTGAATACTTCAATGCTTCTTTTAAAGCCATGGCAACCTTGAAACAATTGAAGAAATAGAATGTTTTGAATTCTTGACATTTAAAAAACATTTTTAGTGTTATGAATGTGTACTTGAGGAACTCTTATACAATCCATTATATTGAAAAGGAAATACAACATTATATTTAAGATTATACTTAAGATATGATGACTCTAAAGTGGCCAAAGTCCCCTTTGTCAGGAACACTGAATAATTTCAGCCTGCATCAGACTTTTTACATGCTTTTAATTTGAAAGTATTTATAATATTCTGAAAAAACCATCAGCCACTAAGACATTGAGAAATGTCGAGTTTTTCTGGATTTTATTCCATACCTTGATATGAGCCATGAATGAATAAGACAAATGACTATACTTTTTACTTTACAAGAAAACAAATCTGAACGTTTTAGCCCTTGATTTTTACAGACCACACCCAAAAACCTCAAAAAAGGCTCTATGAGCTGCTAAATACATTTTTGGAGATTCACTATTCTGTTTAGAAACGTAAGTATTATGCTTTCATAACTGAAACTAAGAATAAATTCTCTCTCTGTACAACTTTTCTCTAGGATATAATACCACTCTGTTTAGATCAGTGACCTTTCTTGGCATATTTATCCATGTCTGATAGAGGATCTGAGCGAATTGCTAAGCAGAGTAAAAACAAAGGAAGAATTCATTGATCTTTAAAAACAGGAAAGAAAAGAAAAACACATATTTGTCTTTATAAGTGTTCTTATTATCAACAGCTAACATGTATGCATGTCATTTAGCCTCATAATGAAATTATATATTACTCAGAGAACTATGTACAAATATTTTATTATTAATGATTTTGACATCACAAAGATGAATGTTATTACTGGAAAATCAATTGCTTAAAATAAGTTTAGAAAATGATTCAGTTTAAAAATGATTGAAGTTGCATCTAAAAAAATCTCTACGTACTAGTGAATCGTGAATCATAACTTCTGAGTCAAGTTTATTGTTTTCCACTTCCCACATACACTCTAACAACAAGGTCAACTCTAGGAATGGAATGGAAATTCTGTCTCTATACTTAGTACTGCCACACATTGGGAAACAGACTTCAACACCATCACGTTCATAGCAACTTTCTAAATCCAACTGAAACAATCACCATCAAATCTGGACTTCTACATTTGCTGATTTCCTTGGTAGCACCAGCCATTATGAACACTGAGATTTTGTTCAATAGACACCGACACTGGCAATTCAATAATAAGGGTAACACTGTTCAAACACCAAAACTTTTCCTTTCTTTTTCTTTCCTTGTTATTTTTGTTTGCTCTGTTCCCCCATCACAACTGTCATCCTTAAACATGACCAATACTATTCTACTGTTGGTCACAAAGTAAACTAAGACAAAGCCTGAAAAAAATTAACTCAAAATGGATACAATCCTGATTGCAGTCTTCTAAATCATGAACTCCTGGCAGCGAGGGATGGTGTTACCTTTATTATTGAATTGCCAGAGTCTAGCACATAGTTTTAATAAATACATGTTTTTAGAATAAAACTTAACTATTGCCTAGCCATATCAATATAAAATATGAAGAATATCCCAAGTAATGAGTTAAAGTTTTACTACATGCCCGTCCTCTCAATTTCTACATAACTTGTCTAAAAACACATATGAAACTTTGTGCTGCCTTGTATAGGAGGTTTATTTTTCTTTCTTCTCTTCATTTTCTTTCAAAATCACATGTATCCTATCCATTTGATGAGGCAATAAACAGCTAGAGAACAACAATCCTGACATGTTTTCATGTATTTCCAAACAAGTCATAAATTTCAATAGATAAATCCAGATTCATACACAATGTTCTACTTTCTATAGTTACTTTTATAATCATCATACTATTATCAATAATTTGAAAACATACCATAATGGCAATCCACTAACTAAATCTACTGAATCCACAAACATGTTAAGACAAGATTAATCGGGTTCTGATGATGTTAAAGATAATCAGGTTAGAAAGAAGATTGTTAAGAGAAAATTATGGTAGGATAGTGACCTTTCCCCTCCACTCTCAACTTTAAGCTATTTTATTTTCCTGACCAAATGCCTCTGGGATCTACAATTGAAGGGAGACTTTGGGCTTACCCTGGCATAAAAAAACTATTATGAAACTTTATCCAAGTGTCAAGCCAAGGTCAGGAATGAAAAGCAACAGGAACTGGGAAGAACTTGCCACTTAAGGGTTCCAAAAGTAAATTTGCCATCAGCTCCTTATGAATATGACAGGTGTTCCTAGAAAGAGTAATGGGAGAACTACTATAAATTTACCTGCACCTGAAGTTTGGAAGGCACAAGAACACAATAACTAGAGGCTTTGCCAGGTACCTCAGCCAACAACAGACAGACTTCCTGCCTTTGCAACTGAGGGCTACAGGGATAGAAACCTTTCTACGTTCCACCACCTCTGGAACTCCCACAGTTTGAAAGACTCCCCACAGCTAAAGCTGAGTTGTAATGAGCCAACAAAGAAAAAACATAACCCATCTAAGAGAGACCATCAGCCAACAAAAATCATAGAACAAATTTACAGTAAAATAGAATTGCTGGACTAGAGAACAGAACCCTGCATAAGAAAGTGAGAGCATCAAAAGAGATTCCAAAATTTGATGACTTCTCACTACTTTTACAATTACCATATTCCATGCCACCATTCTCTCCTGTCAGTGTTATTGCACTTGTCTCCTATTACTCTTCCTATTGTCTTTTCTCCACACAGAAACCAGCTTGTTTTATTGGGAAAGCAAATCAGAGAGGAAGTTGTGTGGACTATTTCGACATCCAAAGCTTCATTTATGAACCTCCCAAAAACCCCCATAGAAACAGAGAGAGCAACTAGAAAAGCCAAAACAAAAACCCATGAATAGCATCTCTAACAAAACTAGGTGGCAAGATAAGCCCACAGATCTCAAAATATAAGGAGGTAGTAAAAACTCTGAAATCTCCATGCTGCATGGTGTCAGCATTTCTGTGGGAGGAAGTGGAGAGAAGGCATGTGGTCTTCTGTTTGCTCTGAGAATAGGAGAATTCTAAAATCAGGAAAAAGTATCCTCCAGAAAGTGTAGTGGATAAGTCTAAAAACCACAGCGGAAGCTTTTTAAATCCATGCTGAGTGGAGATTATAATGGACTCTGCTGTAGTTGTGCTGGAGCAGTCTGGGTCTCATAAACTCTTGACACTAACAAATCTGACTTCAAAGCTTTACACTGAAGAAAAAATGCTGGTAGTAGGATATCAATTAAAAAGACACAGGTAAATATGGAAAGATAAAGAAAGAGGAGATCCATATAACAGTGGAGGAGAAAAACAGAAGAATCCAATATCTGAAAATATAAGACCGTATTTTAATCACTTGGCAAAATGGAAGGAATGCTTTAATACCCTTGGTGTTATAAATCAATCTGGACTTGTTTATTCAATGTTGTTAGGGGTCAAAAAACTACAGCCCAATGGCCAAATGCGGCCTGTGGCTGATTTTCTGTAGCCCTACAAGATAAGATTGGAAAGAAGAAAAAGAAAAAAAGAAGAAGTTGCCGGGGGGAAGCAGGGAAGGAGAAGGAGTAGGAGGAAGAGGAAGAGAAAAGGGAAAAGGAAGAAAGGGAGAAAGGAGAGGAGGAAAAAAGGAAAATGATGAGGAAGATGATGAAGTAGATGATGAAGGTAAAGGAAGTGAAGGAGAAGGAGAAAGAAGAAGAGGAGAGAAAGAAAGGAGGAAGGAAAGGAGGGGAGGAGGAAGAAGATAAAGGAGGAAGAGGGGGAGGAATGGAAGGTGGAGGAAGAAGAGGAAAGGAAAGATGGGGAGGGGCAGGAGAAAAACAGGGGAAAGGAGAGAAGGAGGCAGAAGCTTTATGTAGCCAACAAAACATCAAGTATTTACTATCTGGCCCTTTACATTAAAAGTTTGCCAGCCTCTACTTTAACAAAATTGAGACATAAATGCAATGTTGGATACCTCTTACTCCTAAAGGTAGGCAAAACTCATATCTTTTTTTAAAAAAAAACTAGGCAATATAATTTTTTTCTGAAACAGGTTATTGCTCTTTGCCCAGGTTGGAGTGCAGTGCCATGATCATAGCTCACTGCAGCCTTGAATTCCTGGGTTCAAGAGATCCTCTTCCCTCAGCCTCTCAAGTCACTGGAACTATAGGTGTGCATCACTGCACCCAGCTAATTTTTAAATTTTTTTAAAGAGACAGAGTCTTGCTATGTTGCCCAGGTTGTATAATTATTTAATCAAGGTAAAGAGAAGTTGTTACACAAAATAATGTTCCTACATACACACCAAAAAAAAGGTTAAAAGTATAAGTAAAACTATAATCTAATGTTTCCAAATGAGAATTTAAAAATTGAGAGAAGTATCAAAATTATAAAAGAACAACAAAAGTTAGAATTTTAAAAACTGAGAAACAAGATGGTAAGAAACAGGGAAGATATAAAAAGAAAGATAAAATAATATGGGAAGAATTAAGAGAAATGCTAAAAGTTATTTCAGAAATAAAGACCAAATTAGAATGAACACAAGAGTGAATAAATCATAGAAATAACAAGTTATATTAAGCTAAAAATAAGACATGAATACATGAAGTAAGGTTTAAGCTAACAACTAAAGAAAAGGGCAAGGACTGTATGACTGACAAGTTAACAGAGAGGATAAGGGAGTAGTAAAATATATTTGATTAATGTAAAAAAATTCAAGAAAGGAGGCAAAATGTCCAACAATGATAGACTGGATTAAGAAAATGTGGCACATATACACCATGGAATACTATGCAGCCATAAAAAATGATGAGTTCATGTCCTTTGTAGGGACATGGATGAAGCTGGAAACCATCATTGTCAGCAAACTATCACAAGGACAAAAAACCAAACACCACATGTTCTCACTCACAGGTGGGAATTGAATAATGAGAACACATGGACACAGAAAGGGGAACATCACACACCGGGGCCTGTTGTGGGGTGGGGGGAGCGGGGAGGGATAGCATTAGGGGATATACTGAATGTTAAATGACGAGTTAATGGGTGCAGCACACCAACATGGCACACGTATACATATGTAACAAACCTGCACATTGTGCACATGTACCCTAAAATTTAAAGTATAAAAAAAAACCATAAAACTAATGGGTCAATTAGAAAACAAGTAAAAAAGATCATATATAAAAACCCAAATGAATCAAAATTACACTAAATGTAAATTACATGCTTTCTTGTCTTACTAAATTTTCATA
This sequence comes from Homo sapiens, assembly GCF_000001405.40. Taxonomy (NCBI): domain Eukaryota; kingdom Metazoa; phylum Chordata; class Mammalia; order Primates; family Hominidae; genus Homo; species Homo sapiens. The sequence goes on along the minus strand of NC_000003.12, from coordinate 154,534,495 downwards.
AAAATTAGTTTTAGCTTGCTGGACAATGAAAAGACCATAGAACACTTTAACTCCATTTACATTCACCTCACCTGCTTTGGTACTATTCTTGTGTATTTCAATGCCACCTGTGTGCAAGTGTGTGTGTGTGTCTCTCAGATAGTCACGATTCATTTTTAAATGTTTTAAATAGTTAATATTGATTTAGATTTACTCATATATCTTCTTGCATGTACTGGGATAATTTTTCTTCTGCCTAAAGAACATCCCTTAGTATTTCCTTTAATGTATGTCTGCTGATAATGGATTCTCTGCCTTTTTTCCCAAAAATATTTTATATTACCTTCATTTTTGAAGGAAATTTTTACTTATTATAGAATTATAGGTTGACAGTGATTTTTTCTCAGCACTTGGAAGATTTCAACCCACTCTCATTTATTTCTATTGAGAAATCAGCTGTCAGCCTTAGTGTTGCTCCTGTGAAGGTAATGTATTCATCTTCTTGGGATGCTTTTAAGGTTTCCCTTTATTTGGGGTTTTGAGTAGTTTTACTACAGTGGTATGATGTTTTCTGCATTTATTCTGCTGAAAACTCACAAAAATTCTTGAGAAAATCTATAACATTATCTCTATAGTCAATTTTGAAAAATTCCTGGATATTAAATTTCCAAATACTGCTTTTGTCAAATTCCTTCTCCACTCACTTTCTTGAATTCCTAATTTACATATGGTACATAATTTTATTATATCCATTACAGATATACATTGCTGTATATTCTTCCTATCTCTGTAATCTAGCCTAGATATTTCCTCTTACTCATTTTCTAGTATACTAATTCTCTGTTCAAGTGAGTTAAATCTGTTAAGACCACCTCTTGATTTCATAATTATTGTGTTTTTAAACTGGCTCTAGATTTTTCAATTAATTTTTCATAGTATTCAATTATTTCTTGAATGTTTTCCCCTTGCCATTTTCTGGAATATATTAACAATTGCTATTTTAAAGTCAGTGTCTATTAATTCCAATATTCACATCTCCTGTGAATCTATTCTTATGTTTTAAGATAAAAATTTAAATGTATATATCATATATCTCATATACATCGTATAAGATAATTCACATATGTATAACAAAACCAAAAATATAGTATATGTATGTATTACTTTGTGCATGCTTGGTTTTTTTTTTATTGACTGACAGAAATTGCCTATAGTCAAAGGAAGACAAATTTAAGTCCTGAGTGATGTCATCTTCCACCAGAGAGTGTTACTTTTCCTTCTGGCAGACATTTGAGTAGGAGTAGATTATATTAATTCATTAAGATATTAATTATTTCAAGGCTGGGCTTCAGTCATTTTGAGGCTTGGTCTTCTTTTGTTCACCTTATTTCTTTAGGTTCACAATGGAAAGCCTTGTGTGTTATTAGCACCTCATCTCTTTGTGGGCCCTAAACTCCAGTTTTGTTTTGATTTGTTTTACACAGCTATGTGGGAATGCCACAAGCTCTCTTGCTTTTCAACCTCTTGGCTACTGATTTCTTATCAGTTTAACTTCTCTGCTGCCACTTTAGAGTTGAAAATACTTGGAAAGAAAATGTAACATTTAACATTATGCTCACTTCTCTGAGAATCTTAGCCTCTCAAGAATCTTCAGAATATTAGGCTAAGAATCTCCAGAATCTTAGCCTCTCAAGCCTCAATCCCTTCATAGCTCTCTGATGCTATCAGATACATGCTGTCTACATGAGTCTTTCTTTTTAGCTGCTTTCAGTGAGAGATTTGATCTATAACAAGCTAGTCTGCTGTTACTGGAAGAAGAAGTTTATTATAATAAATATTGATGTAAAAGAAAAATATATAGAATGAACTATAATGCAAAGAGACTAAAATCATCTCTTAAACACAATAAACTCTTGAGTTGACGAATAAAATTGTCTGTTTTGAACACAGTGGTAACTAAGATAACTGTATCCTGCTAAAAACATCCAGAATCATGGATACAAATTTAAAGATATAAAAGATTTTTAATGGATTATTGAGCTCACAATTAGGAAATTAAAATCCTCACATAACAGAAATGAAGTTCAAACTGATAATCAGAGACATAAGATAGGAGCTGTTGTAGCAGCTCTCTCTCTCATAGTAATAGATTCATATCGGTCCAATAAATTAGGGGCTGGGTTTTAATGTGCACCTGAGGCAGTCAGCAAGGGCTATGACCCTTGCAAAGTAAAAAATTAAAACTGAGAATTCCACATAAAGTCTAGGCTACTCAGTAAAAGGATAGATATATAAAAATTCATTCACTGTAGAAGAGAAAATACAGCACAACTCATCTACCTCTGCTGGGACTCTGAGTAGGAAAAAACAAACATTTCTGCTAAACATCAAACTCCTGGTTTTGCATTGAGCTAAAGATTAACATAAAAATCATCCCAGAACAGTTATATCCTTGGAATACATAACAGAAACAATGCAAAACCAGTCATGGAGAATATTCCTGCAACTCAAGCTACAAAGAGTTTCCACAGGAAAAAAAAAAAAAATTAAGCCCTACTAAAAATAAGTTCACACACACAAAAATTAAAAGCACAGTAGAAAAACAATTCATGAGTGAAAGTGAGCAGATACAGCAAAAATCGTGGAAGTAAAGACACATGAACTTCATGTAAATTTTTTTAAAAATTAGAAAAGATATGAGTATTTTTCAGCGATTAAATACCTAAAACAAGAAACAAAAATGTTAACAACAGTACAAAGCTTATGAAATAAATAAACAGATGTAAAAAAGAACTGAGTAGAACTTTGACAAATACAAAGGTAGACATTAAAATTAAAAACAAAATGCAAATGTTAGGTGAAAGATTAAACACAGCTAAAAAATTACAAAAACTGAAGATAAAACTAAGGATAAAAAAACAAGATAAAAAAGAGAAAGATAAAAGAAAAATAAATATATTATGGGAGCAATAGAGATTAAACCCATAAACAGTGAGAATTCTGAAATTGATTAAAGTCATGTATCTTCACGTAGAAAAATTATAGAGTTCCAAGCAAAATAAAGCAAAATTAAATCAACACCTAGACATATCTAATGAAAACTATACAATAAAAAAGAAAGTCTTCAAAATTATCAAAGAATAAAAAACAGATTATATTTTAAGAAACAATACTCAGACTAACAACAAAGAGGCGAGAAATCAATGAAGTGATATTTTCAAAGTGATGAGAAAAAATAAATGTCAACTTAAAATTTTAAAGCAAGTAAAAATAAGTAAACCAGGGCCGAAACATCATCCAAGAGTGGGGAAGATGAAAGACATAGACACTGAGTAATGAATCTTATAATATTCAAACATATAAACATAGTTACCCTTACAGGAATAATGAAAGGCTGGAAATATTTTATATAGGTATAAAATAAAATATATTTGAAATAAAAATACTAAGCTACCTCAACAATAACTAGAAGATAGAGGCTAAAGTTGGGAGAGTGAATACATTAAAATATTCTAAGGATCTCCTCTGGGGAAGAGGTGAAAGAGAGGGAAGTAAAAGCATTGCAAAAGTCTCATCCAAATGGGTTTGTGAGACACTTAGAACAGCTATATATAATCACTTGGTAAAGAGTTGTATCTCATTTTTATATGATAGCTAGCAATCTGTTTATGACCAGGAAAGGAAAAGTAATCATTGTGAAAATGCAGAAATAAAGTAGAAGTTCCATATTAACAAGGAGAAAATAGAATAAATTGCAACTTGATCAGCCCAGCAAAAATAGCAAAAAAGAAATGGGACTTTAGAAAAAAATTAACCACAAACATAAAGATAGAAGGAATAAACCAAGTAAATTAGTCATTACACTAAATGTGAACAAACTTAAAGCTATCATTAATCAGAGTGGGTTGAAAAAAAACAAGCCATTTGTGGCTTTGAAGAAATACACATAAAACAAAGTTATCAAAAATGATTAAAAATAAAGGTTTAGAGTATTCTCACTTATAAGTGGGAGCTGAACAATGAGAACACATGGACGGACACAGGGAGGGGAACAATACACACTGGGGCCTGCATGGGGTGAGGGGGTGGGGAAGGGACAGCATCAGGATAAATAGCTAATGCACTTGGGGCTTAATACCTAAGTGATGGGTTGATAGATGCAGCAAACCACCATGGCACACGTTTCCCTATATAACCAACCTGCACATCTGCACGTGTATCCCGGAACTTTAAATTACATTTAATTAAATTTTTTAAAAATTAAACATAAAATTAAAATAAAATAAAGGATTATGCAAAGAAAAGTTTACCAGGCAAAGGTAAACAAAAAAAGTAGAGGGAATAGAATACCAACAAAGTGAAATTTAAAATTAAAAGCAATACATAGGATACAAAGAGATATTAAATCAGAATAGACACAAGAATTTTTGAAGAAGAAGCAATCAGTATGCACAAAAAAATAAAGCAGCTAATTACAAAAAGCAAAAACATTCCAAATGAAATAGGAATTTGATATGTAGACTGTTAAAATAAAACTCTACAATAGGCTTCTTTCAAATTGAGATTGAGCTAGCCAAAAAATAAATAGCGTATTTCCAAATTGATGATTTGACTTGCTATAAGAAAATCTCAGAAAAAAAGTTAATTAAGTGAAAAACAAATGTTTAAAGAAAACTTTAAGTACTTAGGTATTAGGAAACATGCTCCTGGATAATGCTTGCATCAAAGAAAGTATAAAGGTGATAACAAACTGTATAGACAGCAATGAAAAGAGAACACAGAAGATAAAATAGCGCACAAACTTTATTAGAATATAGGCATCTCTGTGACAACAATTTTGTGTTTACGTGGTCCTAAGTCAGTGAACACAGTAAGTGCTCAATAGATATCCGCTGGATATACATCAAAACTAACAGGCCACAGTGAGAACAGTATTCAGGTGAAAACTAAAGGGATTTAGTAATCACCATCAGAAATTAGAAAAAGAATAATAAATTTTAAAAAAAGTAAAAGAAGAAATTAACAAGAGGAATCTTAAAATTAATTATTTTTTCAAAATGAAAAAATATCCAAAAGCTGGTTCCCTGAAAATATAAAAATCATTGATTAATTTTGTCAAGAAAAACAAAAGAGGAAAACATACTTATGAGTTTAGAAACTAGAGTCGAAGTGAGGTTCCATAGTGTAATGGTGAGCACTCTGAATTCTGAAACTAGAGTAGAAATATAACCATATAAAAGGAGAATGAAAATAATTATTAGAAAATATTATGTGTAACTCTATAACTTTAAATTTACAAACTTCTGGAAAGGATGATATTCCTAGCAAAACTAAAACCATTCACTTTGGCCTCGAGAAGAAATTTAAAAATCTGAATAGACTTATTACAGTGAAGAAATTGGAAAGGTGGAAAAAGAATGCTTGTATTATTGGAAAAGGAATTTTATGAGATATCATTGACCAAGAAGCAACTTAATGATGATTATAATAATAATTAAGAAGAAAATGGGCAATTATCTAGTACTTTGCGTGTACCAGCAATATATATTAACTGATTTTACTTCTCAATATCTGTGGGGTTAATACATTTATACTCATATTACAGATGAAAAAATTAAAACACAAGGAGCACACACTCACGGATTTGGTGAATGGTAAAGCTAGGATTTGAACCCAACATGGCTGACTACAAAGTTTGTTTTCTTAATCACTATACTATGTTGAGAATGTGGAAATGTGGTTTATAATGACTGCCATTCTTGAAACGGTAACACACTGTTATATTTGCAAATACTTACATATGTTTATATATATAAATATAATGTGTTTATATTGAAGTATACAAGCATTGAGGAAAATGCAGAAGGGTGTATTCTCACTTTTTTATGTGACCCACATTATAAAGAAAAAGGAAAAGGAGGAAGGGAAAAGACAAGCAAAACAGAAACAGAAAAATCAAAAGACAATAAAAAAGCACGCATGCCATTAGTATCCAGATAGTGGCCTTGAAATACAACTTCTCATTCTAAAAACACCAGGGCTTCTTAGAGAAAAAGATGATGCCAAGTTGACCTGAGAAATGTACAAAATAATTATATATCATCTTGATATACCAGTTAACAAAGACTGCTAAGACCATGCCAAAGGGCTCAAGAGCCAAGTTGAAGGGTTTCCCTCTGGCCACATAATAAAATATGCATAACACTTGGGGGATAATTTAAAACTTTACTAGTAGACATAAAGGTCTAAATTTATAACTTAAGACCTAAATATAAATATAAATGCAGAAAAAGAGGGATATGGCAGATACATTGTTCTCTGAGAAATAAAATAAAATAAAATATTATAAAATAGTCAATTCTTACCAATAAATCAATCCATAGATTTGACATACTTCCAAGCAAAACCCTAACAAACTTTCCTATCTCACATTTATGGTGAACTTGTATTCCTATCAAATCAGGAACCAGACAGGAATATTGCTATTATTTGAAGACAAACTTATTATCTATGTAGGAAATCTAAGAAAGTTTATTGACGTATTATTATAATAAGAGAGCTTAGCAAAGTTATTAACTATAAGCTCAACATACAAAATCATTAGCCTTGCACGCTATTAATAAGAGATCCTTCAGACTGTCGATAACAATTAGAAGTGTACCTGAGAGATCAGTGATCTTTGATGTTACTATTGCAATTGTTTTGGGGCACCACAGATTGCATCCATATAAGATGATAAACTTAATTGATGAACGTTGTGTGTGTTCTGATTGCTCCACCAACCAGCCATTCCCCTGTCTCTCTTCCTCTCCTTGAGCCTCCCTTTTGCTGAAGCACTATATCGGAATTAGACTGATTAATAACTCTTAATGGCCTTAAATGTTCAAGTGAAAGGAAGAGTTGCATGTCTTTCACTTTAAATTAAAAGCTAGAAATGATTATGTTTAGTGAGAAAGGCATGTCCAAAGCTGAGACAGGCCAAAAGCTAGGCTTCTTGAACCAAACAAGTAGCCAGGATTTAAATGCAAAAAAAAAGTTATTGAAGGAAATTTAAAGTGCTACTCCAGTGAACACATACATGAGAAGAAAGCAAAACAGCCTTATTGCCAATATGGGGAAAGTTTGAGTGCTCTGAATAAGATATCAAACCAGCCATAACATACCCTGAAGCCAAATCTTAATCCGGAGCAATGCCCTAACACTCTTTAATTCTATGAAAACTGAGGGAGGTGAGAAAGCTGCAGAAGAAAAGTTGAAAGCAAGCAGAGGTTGATTCATGAGGTTTAAGAAGCTGTCTCCATAACATAAAAGTTCAAAGTGAAGCAGCAAGTGCTGATGTAGACACTGGAGCAAGTTACCCAGAGGATCTACTAAGATCAGTGATGAAGGTGGCTACACTGAATAATAAATTTTCAGTTTACATGAAGTAGCCTTTCAGTTTACATGAAGTAGCCTTAGATTGGTAGAATATGCCATCCAGGACTTTCATAGCTAGAAAGGGGAAGTCAATGCTTGGCTTCAAAGCTCCAAAAGACAGGCTGATTCTGTTGTTAGGGGCTAATGCACCTGGCAACCTCAAGTTGAAGCCAACACTCATTTACCATTCAAAAAATGCTAAGGCCCTTAAGAACTATGCTGAATCTACTGTGCCTGCACTCTAGAAGTGGAACAACAAGGCCTGGATGACAGCACATCTATTTACAGCATAGCTTACTAAATACTTTAAGCCTAATGTGAGACCTACTGCTCAGAAAAAGATTTCTTTCAAAATATGACTGCTCATCGACAATGCACCTAGCCATTCAAGAGCTCTGATGGAGATGTATAAGGAGATTAATTACTTTTTCATGCCTGCTAACACAACATTAGTTCTGCAGCCCATGAATCAAGAAGTAAGTTTGACTTTCAAGTCATACGATTTTAAAAATGCATTTCATAAGGTTATAACCGCCATAGGCAGTGATTCCTCTACTGGATCTGGGAAATGTAAATTCAAAACCTTCTGGAAAGGATTGACCATTCTAGATGCCATTAAAGACATTTGTGATTCATGAGAGAAGGTCAGAATATCAGCATTAACAGGAGTTTGGCAGAAGTTGATTCCAACCCTCATGGATGACTTTGAGAGGTTCAAGACTTAGGTGGAGAAAGTAACTGCAGATGTGGTGGAAATAGCAAATGTTCTAGAATTACAAGTGGTGCCTGAAGATGTGACTGAATTGCTGAAATCTCCTGATAAAATTTGAATAGATGAAGAGTTGCTTTTTATGGATGAGCAAAGAAAGTATTTTCTTGGGATAGAATCTACTCCTGGTGAAGATGCTGTGAACATTGTTAAAATGACAACAAAGAACTTAGAATGTTACATAAACTTAGTTGATAAAGCAGCAGCAGGGCTTAAGAGGATTGATTCCAATTTGAAATAAGTTCTACTGTGGGTAAAATTGACTCCAATTTGAAATAAGTTCTACTGTGAATAAAATTGACTCCAATTTGAAATAAGTTGTACTGTGGGTAAAATGCTATCAAACAGCAATGCAGACTACAGATAAATCTTTTATGAAAGTAAGAGTCAATAGATGAGGCAAATTTCATTGTTGTCTTATTTTAAGAAATTCCACAGCCACCCCAAACTTTCAGCAACCGCCACCCTGATCAGTCAGCAGCCATCAACATCCAGGCAAGACCCTCTACTAACAAAAAAACATTACAACTTGCAGAAGGCTCAGATGATTCTTAGCATTTTTTAGCAATAAATCATCTTTTAATTAAGGTGTTTACATTGTTTACTTAGATATAATGCTATGGTACACTTAATATACTATAGTATAGTGTAAATATCACTTTTATATGTACTGGGAAACCAAAAAATTTGTGTACCTCACTTTATTGAGATATTTGCTTTATTGTAATGTGGTTTGGAACTGAACCTGAAGGATCTCTCAGGTATGCCTGGAGAAAGTGTAATAAAATAAAGATTTAAAAGCTATATGGTATCTAGGGAAAGATATAATAACATATATGTGGGAATTTTACTAAGAAAATATAAATATTATTGAAGGTTAGTTAAAAGACATGAAATGAAGATAAATGAGCATGGATGGGAAAGCTCTGAGGAAGAAAATTTTCTATAAAGTAATTTAGAAAATCAATGTAATTTAAATAAAAATTTCACCAGTGTCCTTTATGGAACTTGACACACTAATTCTGACATGTATATGCCTGAATAAATAATAAGACGCTTGGGAAACAGGAAGATGCCAGATATCAGTACTGCTTTAGTTTATTAAAAACTAAAGAGTATATAACAGCACAAGAATAGGCAAAATGGTCAAGAAAGCTGAAAAAGAAGCCTAAACATAGACTTAAATGTACATAAAACTGTAGAACAGGATAGAGAAGGCAAGACACAAACTGGGGGAAAATATTTGCAACGTATAAAGCATTAGTATACTTTTTAAAACTTGCACATTTGATTATAGACACTAAGTCAAAAAAAGGCTTACACAAGTCAGTAGAGAAATAGAAAAGTTGGAAGATGATATAAAAAGATTATTCACAAAGAAAACACTGAATGGAAAATAAGAATGAAAAGTTGTTTTAACTACCAAGAAAAGAAAATACCCATCAGATTGATGAGTATTTTAGACCCTGATAATCAGACGTTTGTGTAGCAGTGGGGAAACAGGAACACTTTCACAGATAGGAGAGGAATAAATTAGACCAATCACTGAACAGAATACAGAATGTGATCTCATGTTCCACATTCTAAGAAATGCTACCTGTGTTGAAGTTGAAGAGCCTCTTTGACATTTAATAAATAAGGTCCTATTTCAGGAATTATTCCATTCCTCCTTTGGTTAAGAAGACAAGGGAGAAGAGTGAGGAAAGAAACATTACGAACCTTCGTCTTGTAGGAAATGTAATGTTCTTGATTTTCCCCATTCTTGTCATAAAAGCAAGAGAGGCTACTTCCCTGCTCCAAGGCAAAATAAAGGAGGCAAACTCCAAGAAAAATCATGTAATAATATAGGTGCTAGCAAGAAGGGGAAGATGGCATCTCACACCCCAGCTGGTGGCCTGCTGAGCTGCAGAATTCTCCTTCAGTCTTAGGATCATTGTGGGATTGCAAGGGGATGGAGCATGGTGAAGGAGTTCTTGGGCTATGTTGATATATATCCCCTGGAGTTTGAGGGCATACATGATTAATGAGACTATTCTCTGCTCCTCACCTGAATATTTCTGAAGGAGGGAGGCTTGATAGGGTAGTTGCAATATAAGGGCAGGTAGGCACCATGATGTAGTATACCTGGAAATAAAAGGATCAGGAGGAACCTATATTATGGTCCTCTGAAATTGCGTACAAGCAACTCAGTGGTCTCCATAGCAATGTGCATTGGAGAACAGAGCTTAGAGAAAGGAGGTAGGGCCAACTAAGCAAGATGTTCTCTTTGAAAAGGATTTGGGAATATGGACAACTAGCTGGGTTGAAAGTAGTCATGGCTACCTCTCTGAAACAGTCCTGGATATCAGTGGGGCTGCATAAGCTGCACACCAATCCAAAAAAACCCATGGTTACTTTTTATGTGCTTAACAAAAGTGAAGGCAACAAGCAGCAGGAAGAATTACAGTAACTCAGTGAGACAAAGAACTCCTCAACCACCTGAGGAAACCAGTTATGTGAGATCTCTGCTTTCACCCATCCTATCTGGCCTATCTTCAAAGACGGAGATCTAGAGCAAGAGATACGGAGGAAGTTTTACAAAGGTAGATCACACCCTGACCAGTTCCATCTTGCCACTAAGATGTTAAGAGTAAAATAGCAGATCATGCTGCCCTCTTCTCTACAAGTCCCTACAGCCGTATCTCTTCACTTTAACGGGGGAGTGGGATAATTCTGAACAGGATGTGATACTGAAGTTTTAACTGGCATGAAATAAGTTGTAATTATTGAAATTAACCAAAAGTTATAAGATCTACTCACAATACCATTAAGAAATCTACCACCCAGCGGAAAAAAAGATTCAAAAGAACAGAGTTGCAAGCATTGATTTGAAAAAGAAAAACATGTTTGTAGCTGTCCAAGTTGTTACCCATTCAACAAAACAATTACAATGGTCACAAAGGGAAATTTGTCAGTATTTAGCAAAGTAGTCAATGGGCATATGCAATCCTAGATAGGCTTTACCACAAGTGCAGAAGGAGACATGAATGTTTATTGCATCAATATTTACTAAATAGTCAAAATTTGAAAATAATCTAAATGTTCATGGGAGGGGGATGAATAGTACATTGTGATGCATTAAAACAAGTGAATATAATTCCACAATTAAAGTGGATACAGCTTTAAAATATGCTGAGTGAAAAAAAGAAAGTTGCAGAAAAATACATCAGTATATGAAACCAGCTACGTAAATTGAAAAAAAATAGGATAAGAACTTCACATTTGTTTTGGACACATGTGTATGCAATAAAAGCAAAATAAATACAAACTAATTCTATAGTAACATCACAATTGTTGCTCCAGACAAAGAAGCATACACTGGGAAAAGAAAGGAGGGGACTTCAACATTAATTTTCACCATTAAAAAATAAAAATGATCTGAAATGAATATGACAAAATGTCAACATAGTTTAAAATTTGGAAATATACAAAATTTTGTATAATTATGTGTCAAATGTTGTAATTTATATTGCCTCCCCAAGCCCTTTTCTACAGTCCTTTTCTCCTGTATGGTTCCATTTTCCTCAGAGGTGCCTAGTGGTGTGTCCTTTCTCACCATTGCTTTCCAAAAGCAATCCAATATCTGCCATTGATATTTAGTATAAATTAAATCAGTTTATTACTTTCAGAGCTATCTAATCATTGAATCTATATCCATGTGTACTTTTAAAACATTACAAATATCAAAGAACAGGTGGTTGCATCTTTTTAATTGCAGTGTTGTTTTTCTGAAAAAGTGCTTTTCCCCAGGCTCCTGAAATCACATCTGCTAAGCAACATTTTCTATGCCTGTGTGCAATTCAAGGCCAGCTCAATGGAATGTAACTAACTTGAGTATTGTTTTAGTATTAATGAGAGAAACTTGCATAAAGAGATGCTGGTATTCATGGCATCATATAGACATGCATTCATGAATGCATGTCTCAGTTCCCTAGATAAATAGGGTGAGCAAACACATGAAAAATCTTATCTTTACTTAGAGAGTGGTCCAGAGGCTATATAGGCTATCTCTGTGTGATGTGCAAGCTACTGAGCAGGATTTAAATTGTTGGCTGTTATGCATACAGGCAAACTGCCATTGGCTGGAACAAAAAGCCCAGTAACTTCCCTATTTGCAGTGGATTTAGATTTTTATCTCAGTTTGCTTTAAGTAACATTTCCTATAATTCAAGATTCTTTTAATGAGATAAACAACATTTTTGTAATATAATAAGAAGTTTATCCACTGGCAAATTCACTGGAAGACTCCCAGAAGCAATTTCTTTTGGAAATTGCTTCATGAGTCTTCCCGCTGCCAATATGGCTACAGAAAAAAAAATTTAAGAAAACTTGATATGATGGCCCCAAACAATACAACAGAACATTCAGTGCCTGTCATTCTTAAAATGTAGCAAAATATACTTGATTGAAGCTCACCAGTTAACATTCCCAAAGCTATAAGGAAGAAGCTGATTACAAAATGAATTAGAAATTAAGGAAAATATTCTATGTTAACACAGTAGTAAAGGTTGGTAAATGACAATTTATTATGTTGATTTTTGAAATGAAATATATGTATAGATTATTGGTTGGGTATAACTATAGATATGTATTAAGATTAAATTTTTGCAAGTTTAGAAAAAAGAATTTTAAAAAGGAAGATGTATAGCATATCCTCATTTCTAAGATCTTTACAAATGTCACAGGCAATTAGTAAATTTTATAGGTCTTTACAAGTATAATGAGAAATTCTAATACAAAATTACAGTTTGGTATTGTACTTTATGAGGTAGCCAGAATAGTGAGAAGAAACAATGGGCCGGGCACGGGTGGCTTATGCCTGTAATCCCAGCACTTTGGGAGTCTGGGGAGGGCAGATCACTTGAGGCCAGGAGTTCAAGACCAGCCTGGCAAACATGGTGAAACCCTGTCTCTACTAAAAATACAAAAAGTAGCTGGGTGTAGTGGCACGCGCGGCTGTAATCCAAGCTCCTCTGGAGGCTGAGGCAGGAGAATCATTTGAACCCGGGAGGCGGAGGTTGCAGTGAGCCGAGATGGTACCACTGTACTCCAGCCTGGGCGACAGAGCGAGACTCCTTCTCAAACAACAACAACAAAACAAACAACATTTTGAACACATTTATGCTTGGTTTATCAATGTTTGAGACTCTAAAATGAGAGCTAAAACATAAGTTTTTGGGTTCTTCATGTAATTAACTTTAAAACTTACAAAATATTTGATACAGAAATGTTACTATTTCCTCTCCCTAGCCTTGGGAAAATTGGTTAGAAAAGATGACAGTTGGAAAAATAATAGAAATAAAACCTTTGATAATATCAGTTAAAATCGTAATCTTTATGTAAATCACAATCTTTATGTAAAATCATTATCTTTAAAGGTTATTTACATAATGTTTAATCATTAGGTTATTGTTTGCTGAGCTGATGCTTCTCTTAGGAGACTGAAATAGTTCTATTTAGACAAGACCAGTCATTTCCTTAATGCAGGCCAGTTTTATTTAATGATTAAATCATGTTTTGTATCATTATATTTTTTTCATTTTGTTCAAGAACTCAACTGCACAACAGCCTGATGCATTCAGGAAGTTGCAAAACAAAATTTTCAGAATTTACTCTTTTAGTCAGTTAACCAACTTTATTGAGGGCAGGCACTCAAATGATGTGCTAAGAATTGGAGATACAGCATGGATACTGCCCTGAGAGAGAACTTGGTATGTATGGAGTTCAGTAATTGCAAAGGTAGAAACACCATCTGATATTATTACCAGAATCTGATATATTTTAATGTATAGCTTCATTTAACTTGAGAAAGAATCTAATAAAAAAAGTCATTAAGCTTCTCCATGTAACAATATCAGATTTGATATAATTTTACTATATTATTTCCTCTATGGAAATTATTTGCACAATGCATTTCAGCATTTATTGAGTGGTATGATTATTTAGCATCTTCAACCTCAGTTTTCTAGTCTATGAAAGAAGCAGCTAACAGTATCTAATTGGTGGTTTGGGGAGGGTTAAATGAAATTATACATATCAGCTTACCCTTACTTCAGACCTCAGTAGAAAAATATTTCCAGCATTATCCAGAAAGTGTTTATTTGCTCATAGTTAAAGCAATCACCATCAAGAGGAATAGGATTATTCAGGTTTTAACTTTGATCTGTGGGAGGAAAGGTACAAACACAAATAAATCTCGCTTTACCAGGAAGGCAGAAAAGAGGAATGGATATTGCAGGTTACTATTTGTGCGTGCCAGAGCAGTGACGACACTTTCATCAGAAGGGCATATATTGAAGGTTAGGGAAATCAAACCTAGAAAGGATACTCTGACCAAGGATCTCCTAGAACATGAATTTATTTAAGTAGGCAGGTAGTTAGGTAGATACAATTGTAAGATCAGGTGATATGAAGCCCTCAATGCAAGTCTGAAATTCAGTAACCAGAATACAAGGCTTGGAAGAATTGATGAAAACACAGTTCCACTCTTCTAGAAATTAAGATAGCTTTAAAGTAATTTATAGATTCAATGCTATTCCTATTAAACTAACAACATTATTTTTCATATAATTCAAAAAAAAATTCTAAAATTTATTTGGAATCAAAGAACAGCCCAAAAAAAATCCAAAGCTATCCTAAGCAAAAAGAACAATGCTGAAGGCATCACATTAGCTGACTTCAGACTATACTACAGGTCTACAGTAACCAAAACAGCATGGTACTGGTAGAAAAAATAGACAGACCAATGAAACAGAATAAAAAACCCAGAAATAAAGCCCCACATCTGCAACCATCTGATCTTTGACAAAGTTGATAAAAATAAACAATAGAGAAGACTCCCTATTCAATAAATGGTACTGGGATAACTGGCTATCCATATACAGAAGAATGAAACTGGTGATGGGTAAATCCTATCACCATGTACTGGTGATAGGATACACCTACCTATCACCATATAAAAAAATTAACTCTAGATGGATTAAAGACTCAAATGTAAAATCTCAAACTATAAAAGTCCTAGAGGAAATTTTAGGAAATATTCTCCTCAATAACAGCTTTGGCGAAGAATTTTTAGCTAAATTCTCAAAAGCAATTGTAACAAAAACAAAAATTGACACATAGGATCTAATTAAAGTACCGGGCTTCTGCACAGCAAAAGAAACTATCAAGGGAGTAAACAAACAACTTATAGAATGGGAGAAAATATTAGACCTATGCATCTCACAAAGGTCTAATATCCAAAATCTATGAAGAACTTAAAGAAATTAACAAGCAAAAACAACCCAATGATAAAATGAGCAAATAATACGAACAGACACTTCTCGAAAGAAGACATATAAGTGGTAACAAACTTGATAAAATGCTCATTATCACTAATCATCAGAGAAATGCAAATTAACACCACAATGAGATACTATCTCACATCAGTCAGAATGGCTTCTGCTAAAGTCAAAAAATAACAGATGCTGGTAAGGCTGTGGAGAAAAGGGACACTTACATACTGTTAGTGGGAATGTAAATTAGTTTAGCTGCTGTGGAGAATAGTTTGGAGATTTCTCACAGAACTAAGAGTTGAACTACCATTGGACCCAGCAATCCCATTACTTAGTATATACCCAAGGGAAAATAAATTGTGCTACTAAAAAGACACACACACATGTTCATCACAGCACTACTCACAATAGCAAAGACTTGGAATCAACCTAGGTGCCCATCAACAGTGAACTGGATTTTTTTAAAAATGTAGTACGTATGCATGATGGAATACTATGCAACCGTTAAAAAAAAAGAATGAAGTCATCTCTTTTGCAGCAACATGGATGTGGCTGGACGCCATTATCCTAAGTGAATTAATGCAAACAGCAAAACAAATACTGTAGGTTCTCACTTATAAGTGCGAGATAAACACTGAATACATATGGACATAAAGACAGGAACAATAAACACTGGGGAATAAAAGAGGTGGGAGGGAGGAAGTGGGGAAAGGGTTGCAAATCTACTTATTGTGAACTATGATCAATTATTGGGTGATGGATTCATTCATACTCCAAACTTCAGCGTCACATAATATACCTTTGTAACAAACCTGCACATGTACCCCCTGATTCTAAATAAAAGTTGATGACTTTTGGGTTGTAAATATATGAACACAAGTAAAAGTGATGTGACTGAAATTACAGTATGTAAAATTGTGTCACAGAAAAATTATGTGAGCCCATCTCTTTTGGACAATACCCTGGAAGGAATGGGTTAACCCCTGGACACTCAATCCTCTCCTCTAGTTACAGGAACACTTCAGTAAAACTTGGCCATTGGACAAATTGCTTGCAACATCAACTAAAAGAATGTGTCTGATTGGAAATAAATGTCCCTGAGCATATGGTATCTGGTTGTCAGGTTTGTCTATTATATTATCTGGTAAATTATGGACCACAGCTAAATTAAAGAATGAGAGCTAAATCCAAGAAGACTAGCAAAGTATTTAAACTGAAAATATCCAAGCCCCTGGGGCTGTCCTGTGCTGATATGACTCAAATGCCTGCTGGTTCTTATCCCACATGATGGAAGCATATCCCATGTGGTAACAGTGATCATGAAGAAGCATCTGGGAGCTTGTGGCCTACATGACACTGTTTTTATGCATAAGTGTGTACTTTATTCTTTCTTAAAGCTAATAACATTTTTGCTGAGTAAGCCTATACAGCTTTATTAGGCTGAATAAAGCTAAAACCCACTCTGGTGTCCTTATAGACAATTAATATGGTCGTGAATAAAATGGCTGAATTGATGCTGAGCCAACCACTGAACAGATGTTCTTTGAAGTACTCGTAACTAGTAATAGCATAGGCTCCATGGTCTTGGGTAAGGATTAGCTTTAAAATGAGTGGACAGGGTTTAAATGTCCCAGATTTAGGGTTTCAAGAGTGTGTTGACAAAGTGATATTAGCAAACAGTATAAAACTTTAATTCTTGTCATATTTATGCCTTCATGAATTAACACTGTAGTTCAATAACAGGTGCTCTGAGAGAAGCCATGTTATTGTATGAAATTAATTATGACCTCTTCTGGAGAAGGTACATAAAAATACATTTCTTCTGTGGGTTTCACAATTGAGTAGCTGCTTACTTCAAAATTTTCCATTTTTTCTGAAGGTATTAGTGATCATATACTGACTCAGATAATCCTTACATTAACTAGAAGAGTTACAATATGCTGTTTGTTAAATAAAATAATAAAAATAAAATTACCATACTATCCAGCAATTTTACTTCTGCCTACACAGACAAAAGAATTGAAAACTGGGACTCAAGAGATATTTTCACACCCATGTTCACACTAGCATTATTCACAATAGCCAAAAGGTGGAAGCAACCCAAGTGTCTATCAACAGTTGTTCCATTTATCAACAGTTAAATGGGTAAACAAAATGCAGTATATACTGTCAAACTAACTAACAGAGAAATAGGCTCTCTAAAGGAAAATGGTATTTATTGGAAGTAGCATTGTGATGAGCATATGTGTGCCATGGTAAACTACGTGCATATTCAAAGAGGTTGAGGTAAGGGGAAGTTTTTAAAGGCAAAATGAAGACTACTTAATTGTTTTGAGATAATTATTCTTGATTACAATGATCAATAACAAAGATGGCATCAGTCCAAGGTTGGACAGACAGTACCTGGGCAGATGTTGTCACCCAAGTAATTTTTTGTAAGGTTGTGTGGCCTTTGTGCAAGGTTGTGGTTTTTTGCAGTCTTGTGATAGTTCTTGTTATCAGGTATACATGCGTGAGAACCCTCTCTTCATGGCCTTCACTTGCTCTGCTTGTCAGGGTTTTAACACAAGTGACTCCATTTTGATTCTGACAGCTTTTGCAATACAGACAATGGAGCATTATTCAGACTTAAAAAAGGAGAAAATTTTAGCACACACTACAACTTGAACAAACCTTGAGGACATCATGCTAAATAAAATAAACCAGTCACAAAAGGACAAATACTTGTGTGTGGTGTGTGTGTGTTTGTGTATGGTCATGTCATCTACAACTGTATGTATATAAGTTTCCTGGAGTGGGCAAATTTATAGAGAGAGTAGATTGGGTCTTACATTTAAGCTTTTAATCCATTTTGAATTGGTTTTTGCAACTCAAAATGGTGAGATATAGAGGCCTAGTTTCATTTTTCTGCATATGAATAGCCCATTTTCCCAGCACCATTTACGGAAGACTGTCCTTTCCCCAGGAATATACTGTATGCATATGTTTCCTGGAGTCAGCAGGGAATTTATATAGAGAGGAAATAAATTGTTCATTTCCAGGGGCTGAGAGGAAAGAAAAATGTGGAGCTATTTTTTAATGGGTACAGTTTTGCAAGATAAAAAGAGTTCTGGAGATGGGTGATGATGATGGTTGCACAACAATGTAAACATACTTATGCCACTAAAATATTCATTTAAAAATAATTAATTTGGTTAATTTTATGCTATGAATATTTTACCACAATTAAAAACTTTTCATGGAAAAAAAATGCTGTTTAAATATTTCCCACCTCTTCAAAGTTCCAATCAAATTAAATACACTAAAGATTGGGCAGTTTCCAGAGAAATTCAGCAAGAGAAGGAAATAAAGGCCACCCAAATTGAAAAGAGGGAGGTCAAATTGTCCCTGTTGGTAGATGACATGTCCATATACGATATATAGAAAAGCCTAAAGACTTCACAAAAAAATTGATTAGAACTAATAAATAAATTCAGTACAGTTACAGGATACAAAATCAATATACAAAAATAAGTAGTGTTTCCATATGCCAATAGCAAAGTATCTGAAAAAATCAATAAAGCAATCCCATTTACAATAGCTACAAAAAATTGAATAACAAGAAATAAATTGAACCAAGGAGGTAAAATGTCTAGACAATAAAACTGTAAAACATTGATGAAAGAAATTGAAGATCACACAAATAAATGGAAAGATATCTTATGTTCATGGATTGGAAGAATTAATATTGTTAAAATGTTCATACTTTCCAAAGTGATTTACATATTCAGTGTAATCTCTATCAAAATATCAATGACATTCTTCACAGAAATAGGAAAAAAATCCCAAAATTCATATGGAAACATACAAGATCTCAAATAGCCAAAGTAATCTTGAGCAAAAAAACAAACAAAAAAATAAAGCTTGAGGCATTTTACTACCAAACTTCAAAATATTCTACAAAACTATAGTAACCAAAACAGCATAATGTTGGCATAAAAATAGATACATAGAACAAAATAGAGAACACAGAAATAAATCCACATACTTCACAATCACATTTTTTTTTTTTGACAAAGGTGCCAAACATTGGGGAAAGGACAGACTTTAATAAATGGTGCTGGGAAAACTGGATATTCATATGCAGAAAAATGAAACTAGGCCCCTATATCTTACTGTATGCAAAAACCAACTCAAAATGAATTAAAAGCGTAAATGTAAGACCCAATTCTATGAAACTACTAGAAGAAAACAAAGGAAAATCCTTCATTACACTGATCCAGGCAAGGAGATTTTTGGATAAGAGTTCAAAACCACAGGCAACAAAAGCAAAAATAGACAAAAGGGATGACATCTAAATAAAAAGCTTCTGCACAACAAAGGAAATAGTCAACAGAGTAAAGAGACAACCCACAGAATGGAGAAAATATTTGCAAACTATGCATCTTGCAAGGAGTTAATATCCAGAATATAAATGAACTCAAAGAAGCAAATAAATTGATTTATTTATTTGCTTCTGGGGCCAAAGGACTTGAATAGATATTTATAAAGAAGATATATGGATATATATTTATATATTTATTTATTTATTCAGTGGCCAAAGGACCTGAACAGATATTTATAAAAAAGGTATATAGATAGACGGCCAATAGATACATGAAAATATGCTTGACATCACAATCATCAAGGAAATACAAATCAAAACTGCAATGAGATATCGCCTCATCCCAACTAGAATGAACATTAGCAAAAAGGCAAAAAATAACAAATGTTGACATGGAAGTGGAAACTGTTGTACACTGTTGGTAGAAATGTAAATTGGTACAGCCATTATGGAAAACAGTGTGGAGTTTCCTCAAAAAATTAAAAACAGAAATACCATATGATCCAGCAATTCCTCTCCTGGTTGTTTAACCAAAGGAAATAAAATCAGTGTGTTGAAAAGATATGTGCACGCCAATAAACATGTAGCACTATTCACAATAATCACAATATGGATTTTACCTAAGTGTCCATCAATGAACAAATGGATAAGGAAAATGTGGTGTACAACAACAGGCAAGCCAAGAGCCAAATCATGGATGAACTCCCATTCACAATTGCCACAAAAAGAAAAAAATGCCTAGGAATACAGCTAACAAGGGGAGTGAAGGACCTCTTCAAGGAGAACTACACACCACTTCTCAAAGAAATCAGAGATGACGAAAACAAATGGAAAAACATTCCATGCTCATGGATAGGAAGAATCAATATTGTGAAAATGGCCATACTGCCCAAAGCAATTTATAAATTCAGTGCTATTCCTATTAAACTACCATTGAGATTCTTCACAGAATTTGAAAAAATCTATTTTAAAATTCATATGGAACCAAAAAAGAGCCCAAATAACCAAAACAATCCTAAACAAAAAGAACAAAGCTGGAGGAATCACACTACCCAACTTGAAATTATACTACAAGGCTGCAGTAACCAAAACAGCATGGTACTGGTACAAAAACAGATACATAGACCAATGGAACAGAATGGAGAACTTAGAAATAAGACTGCACACCTACAACCATCTGATCCTCGACAAACCTGACAAAAACAAGCAATGGGTAAAGGATTCTCTATTTAATAAATGGTGCTGGGAGAACTGGCTAGCCATATGCAGAAAATTGAAACTGGACTTTTCCCTTACACAGTATACAGAAATCAAGTCAAGATGGATTAAAGACTTAATGTAAAATCTGAAACTATAACAACCCTGGAAGAAAATCTAGGCAATACCATTCAAAAGATAGGCACGGGCAAAGATTTCATGACGAAGATGTCAAAAGCAATCGCAACAAAAGCAGTGGAAAAATATTTAAAGAGCCCAAACCCATTTTCACTGAGTAATATAAAGAAATACTGAACTTGAAGCTGAGAGGCACTAAATCAATAACATTCCGCTTACTCAGATCTAGTCCACATGGCTATCCTGATTTTTGCACAGTGTTCCTCTAACTGGTGAGTTGGAGGCCCTGGCTTTTTCTTCTTTGTGGTTTTTCCATCTTTTGCATGCAGTGTTTTCAATGTCACAGCACTTGGCTATATCAAATTGGTCAAATGAGAAAGAATATAGAAATTTGTGTGAGAAAGGTTTCTATGGGCAAGGTCTGGAGGTGGCACCTATCATTTCTGCTTACATTCCATTGGCAAGAAATCAATCATATGGTCACACCTAACTGTAAGACAAGCTAAGAAATATAGTCTAGCTGGTTCCAAGGAGAAAGAAGGAATGGTTTGTGACTAGTTAGCTAGTCTCTATTATAGGTTATTTGTCCTAATTTATTGTTGTATTAATTCTGGCAGCAATGCATCCTAACCCTGGCGTGGGTGATGATAATATATGTGTGTAATATCCCTAGATGTCCATTGAGATCTGATGATGCTGGTAATGTAGGCCCAAATGTCAGCTAGGGTCCTTCTGACCATTGAGTTTCTAATAAAATCTGCCCAAATTCCCCATTTAATGCACCAGAAATATCATTCAGATTCCCAGGGTCTTATATTTTCATGGTCTTCTCCATGCCCAACTCCTACTTTTACACATGCTTTTGCTATTTTTCACTGCCTTTTTTTTTTTTTTTTTTTTTTTTTTTTTGAGACGGAGTCTCGCTCTGTCGCCCAGGCTGGAGTGCAGTGGCGGGATCTCGGCTCACTGCAAGCTCCGCCTCCCGGGTTCACGCCATTCTCCTGCCTCAGCCTCCCAAGTAGCTGGGACTACAGGCGCCCGCCACTACGCCCGGCTAATTTTTTGTATTTTTTTAGTAGAGACGGGGTTTCACCGTTTTAGCCGGGATGGTCTCGATCTCCTGACCTCGTGATCCGCCCGCCTCGGCCTCCCAAAGTGCTGGGATTACAGGCGTGAGCCACCGCGCCCGGCCTTTTTCACTGCTTTGATACAGATATGAAATCCAGATCTTTCATGGATTTCCACTGAAAATACTCTTTTAAACACTGCATTTGTGGCCAAAAATGACTTTCCTAAACACTTGAGAATGACAGAGGAGGTTTAAATTATAACAATAGGAGCAACTTCACAGTAAATAGCAGGCAGCCTCCAGTCCTTTAGAACCTAATTCTGGGACATTTCTGAGGCCCTTCACCTCATCTGGTTTTCTTCCTCACCTCACCTCACTGTTTCCTTTCTCCCTAGACTCTCTTTATCTCTCAAAAGAAAAAAACGGATTCCCCTTATTTTGTCATGCAGAACGATAACCATTTTTATTTCATTGTTCCTTAGGTTCCTGCTGACACCAGTGTTCTGAGGGGCCTTATCTTCCACCCCCAAGGAGTTTATATGCATCCTAAGAGAAATTCACACATGGGCTATAAAGCTAAAATTTTCACATTATTTTGTACAAAGTCAAAATGACTTGAATACTAACCACAGAATATTAAGTGGCTTCCACTAGATCAGCATTCCCAATGTGTATCCTGTGCCCCAATCCTGTGAGTAAATTTGTAGACCAAAAAAATTGTGATCCATGATGAAAACATTTTGAGAAGCCCTGCATACTATATTCCCCTGTTGGAAATTCATAATGCACATTAAACACATTGAAAACTGTTGGAAGTCCTGCACTAAGAAACCTGCTTAGCTCTGATAGTAGCTAACTCACTTGATGACATAAACTTTTCTTCACAAATGTCCACACAAATGTATGGAATACAGTTTAGGAAACTCCGGGCTAGATGATTTCTAAGGTCCCTTCTAGCTGTGATGTTATGAAATGTTATAACTCTTAAGCACCTTTGTGATCAATGAGGAAACAACTGTGAGAGAATCAGCCCAACGGCATGGCCAGAATCGGTGATTTCATGGCCAGAGTTGGAGCTTTCTTGCTATAAGAGCCCTCTCAGATGACAACTGACTCCACCCAGAGCTTTCAGCCATCTGGTTATTCTAAGAATGTGAGACAGAGACCCTCAGAAACTAAGCAGCAATAAACAACAACAAAAAAGACAGACAGATTTCCAAGTTGAAACTGAAAGCTTCCTGTACTGTACCTCCACTTTCATCTTCGCCAAGCCTGCTAAGACAGGGCTTTGCTACCTGAAAAATGTGTCCTTCCTCTTTCCTCTCTGTATTCGTCTACTCTGGGATTGCTGTGTTCTCTTGAGATGAGTTGCTTCCACTCCCCTCCCCCTGCCCTGACACCCTGCAATACTCCACCTTTCATGAATCCTCATCTTCACATTTAATACTTTTGACCAAAGGTGTTTGGTTATAGCCAAATTTTACAGCAACTCAGCAGTCTAGACAGTAGATGACTTGTACTGCTCCTTCTAACCTTGGCACTATGAAATAGTTTGATTTTTCTTCTAGTAGAACATATTGACTAGCAAATTAAAGAAAAACAATTTAAATGAAAAATATTATTAGATAGCACAATACACTTTTGAATATTGTCACCAAGGCACAGGTCCACGCATTTCATTTGAAAGTGTCTTGAAAAATACAAAGAATAATATAAATATAGTAAATCATTAGTATTTCTTGTCACTTTCTATGAAGAACTATCCCTGCTTTACTTAGGTATTTCAGATGTTGGAATAAATGTATGCTGAAGTTTCATTCCATCTCCTCTCAAATAAATTAATTCTGACTGATACAACTTTCTTTAGAAAATATAAGCTTTGGTGCACTGATTAATTTGTTTTGTGAATTCCAATATAATGTCCTAACCAAAGCATGTGAGAAAATAAGTTTTTCTTTATTGTAAGGATCATAAATCCCTTTGAAAATGTGATGAAAGGGAACCTTTTCCAGAGGGAAAATGTACTCTGCCAGTTAAGATAGAATTTGACAATGAAAAAAAGAAAACCAGACCAGTCACTTGAGCAAAGTAGGAGATTTTTTTTCCCCAGAGTTAAGCAATATAGGACTGGTTACAGCAGTTCCACAATACAAGCAGACCTGTGGCCTTTCACTTTTCTGCTCCGCAACCTTTAACAAGACATATGCTCCACTTCCAACATGAATCTGTATTTCAGACAGGGAAAAAGGAAAGGATAGAGGGCAAAAGCTTTCTGCAGTTGAGTAAATTCCTTTTATCCAGTAACTTCTGCCTATGTTCTACTGGCCAGAATGTGTCACATGTGTAGTCCTAGCTGCAAGGGAGGCTGAGAAATGTGAATTTCTAGTGGGGTTCATTGCGTCCCTCAAACAAAATCCAACAGTGTCTGCCACATGTTCATATACAAAACATGAAGCTCTTTTAGGAAGGTTCCAAGTTAAGAATCATTGATTTAAAGACAAGGCACATGTAGGGCAACAAGTGATATTTTATTTATTAAAACTGTTTGTGGTCTATCTATTAGAAATTCATGTTTTAACATCCAAGGTAGTAAGACAATTGCTGTGTAAAATAGCCTAAAGCAGCAACTATTGAAGGCCACAGTTTCTATCAGATACATCATCTGTGATGCTGTTTCAGCAACATACAGATTATTTGACTCTACCAGAGACCTGATGAATTAGAATCTCTAGAGATGACACTCATGGTTTTTCATCTCCATTGGTGGTTCTTGTACAAACGAAAGTTAGAGAACTATCAGCCTAAACTCAAATGCCTGTGGAGGCCATGAAGTAACATAAATGAATCAACACATTGAGAATATAGAATACAATAAGGAATGAGGAGCCCATGGAATATATGACCCAGCTAATAGAGGCTAACACTACTTAGTGCCTACTATGGGCACCATGTGGCAAGGTGGACTGTGTGTTTCCAGTTCTTTAAATTTTTTTTCAAGGGAAGATGAACAACTGATTTTTAGGTAAAATCTCCTGATTTTTAAATGCTGGGAACCAGCATTAAAATATTTAAAAGAAGTTTTTTTTCAATAAATGATGCTGGAGCAACTGGAAATCCACATGTAAAAAAACAATAAATCTAGACATGGACCTTACACCTTGAAAAAAAATTACTCTAAGCATATAATAGACTTAAATGTAAGATGCAAAACTATAAAACTTCTACAAAATAACATAGGAGAAAACCTAATGGACCTTGAGTATAATAATGATGTTTTAGATACAACACCAAAGACATTATCTAGGAAAAGAAATGTATATGTACATGTGTATATACATGTATATGCTTATGTCAAGAGAATGAGAACCCAAGAAACAGACTGGGAGAAAATATTTGCAAATTACACATCTGATAAATAACTGTTACCCAAAATATACAAAGAGCTCTTAAAACTCAACAATAAGCTGGGCACGGTGGCTCATGCCTGTAATTCCAGCACTTTGGGAAGCTGAGGCAGGTGGATCATGAGGTCAAGAGTTTGAGACCAGCCTGGCCAAGATGGTGAAACCCCGTCTCTACTAAAAATACAAAAATCAGCCGGGCGCAGTGGCAGGCGCCTGTAATCCCAGTTACTTGGGAGGCTGAGGCGTGACGATCGCTTGAACCCAGGAGGTGGAGGTTGCAGTGAGCTAAGATCATGCCACTGCATTTCAGCCTGGGTGACAGAGTGAGACTGTGTCTCAAAAAAAAAAAAAAAAAAAAAAAACTGAACAATAAGAAAACAAACAACCCAATTTAAAAATAGGCCAAGGATATGAAAAGATATATTACCAAATAAGATACACAGATGGTAAGTATGCAAATAAAAAGATGTTCAACTTCATATGTCATTAGAGAATTGGAAATAAATATAACAATGAGATAGCACTACACATCATTGGAATGACTAAAAACAAAATACAACATCAACTGCTATTGAGGATGTAGAGTAGCAGGAATGCTCATTCATTGCTGATGAGAATGAAAACTGGTACAGCCACTTTGGAAGGCAGTTCAGCAGTTTCTTACAAAAGTGAACATACTTTTTTACCATACAATTCAGCAACTGTGCTCTTTAGTATTCACCTAAAAAAGTTAAAAATTTATATACACACAGAAACCTGAACAGGGATATTTATAGATGCTTTATTCACAATTGCCAAAACTTGGAATCAACCAAGATGTACTTCAGTGAGTGAATAGATAAGCAAACTGTGGTACATGGAATAGTATTTAGTGCTCAAAGAAATTAACTATCAAGCATAAAAACACATGGAGGAAATTTAAAAGCACGTTATGAAGCGAAAAATGTCATTCTGAAAAGGCTACATACTGCATGATTCCAACTATATGGCATTCTGGAAAAGGCAGAATTATGGAGACAGTAAAAAGATCTGTGGTTGTTAGGTGTCAGTGGGGAGGGAGGTATGAATAGATAGAACCCAGGGGACTTTTAGGTCAGTAATACTGTTCTATGTGAAACTATAATGGTGAATATATCAGTAAACATTTGACAAAATCCATAGAATGTGCAACACCAAGAGCAAATCCCACTGTAAACTATGGACTTTAGGTGATGATGGGTCAATAAAGGTTTGTCAGTTGTAACAAATGTACCATTGTGAGGCCGAGTGTGGTGGCTCATGCCTGTAATCCCAACACTTTGAGAGGTGAAGGTGGGAGGATTGCTTGAACTCAGGAGTTTGAGACCAGCCTGGGCAATATAGTGAGAACCCCATCTCTAAAAAACAAAAACAAAAACCAAACAAGCCAAATAATAATAATAATAATAATAATAATAATGTACTACTGGGCCAGGCGTGGTGGCTTACGCCTGTAATCCCAGCACTTTGGGAGGCCGAGGCAGGTGGATCACGAGGTCAAGAAATCGAGACCATCCTGGCTAACACAGTGAAACCCCGTGTCTACTAAAAATACAAAAACTTAGCTGGGCGTGGTGGCAGGCACCTGTAGTCCCAGCTACTCAGGAGGCTGAGGCAGGAGAATGGCATGAACCCGGGAGGCGGAGCTTGCAGTGAGCCGAGATCGCGCCACTGCGCTCCAGCCTGGGCGACAAAGTGAGACTCCGTCTCAAACAAAATAATATAAAAATAATGTACTACTCTGGTGCAGGATGTTGATAATGGGGGAGATTGTGTATGTGTGGACACAGGGGTTATATGGGACAGGGGAACTCTAATTTTCACTCAATTTTCCTGTGAACAAAAATTTCTCTAAAAAATAAAGTTTATTTTTTTAAAAAATTAAAGGACTGTGTATGGGTAAATCAAAGCAGGCCTATGATTTGCCTGTTAACAACCTCTTTTTGTTTGTTTGTTTGTTTGTTTGTTTGTTTTGAGATAGAGTCTCGCTCTGTCACCCAGGCTGGAGTGCAGTGGCCCAATTTTGGCTCACTGAAACCTCCACCTCATGGGTTTAAGCAATTCTCCCTGCCTCAGCCTCCCAAGTAGCTGGGATTACAGGTACCTGCCACCACACCCGGCTAACTTTTGTATTTTAGTAGAGGCGGGGTTTTGCCATGTTGGCCAGTCTGGTCTTGAACTCCTGACTTCAGTGATCTGCCCACCTTGCCCTCCCAAAGTCCTGGGATTACAGGCATGAGCCACCACGCCCGGCCTGGCATTTTTTTTTTTTTTTTAATGAAAGGGATATCAGAGTTTATCTGGCTCATGCCAGTAGCTTTATAAATTAGAATGTTTACACTCAAAAAAAGTAAGTGATTTGACTATGATGGCACAAGTAGTGTTGACAAAACCAGGCTAAGTGCTTAAACCACCAAACCTCCAATTTACTTTCTTATATAAACTTTA
Source organism: Homo sapiens (assembly GCF_000001405.40). Lineage (NCBI taxonomy): Eukaryota > Metazoa > Chordata > Mammalia > Primates > Hominidae > Homo > Homo sapiens. Next base: position 154,506,381 of record NC_000003.12, on the reverse strand, counting down.
CGGGCAGTAGCCCTCAAATGTTAGCTCTAAGAGAGATTATCATTCGTTATCATTCGTGTAGTAGTAATATTGGTAACATTTTAAATTAAAATCTTAAGAAGCATGCCTTGCTTCCCATCAGTAAAATGCAGAATATCTCCCCACACAACACCCTCTAACAAAATCAACAAGAGATTAACAAATGTTTTAATTTAAAAATACAAATCTCTTCTATAGGCTGGGCACAGTGGCTCACACCTGTAATTCCAGCACTTTGGAAGCGGAGGCAGGTGGATCACCTGAGGTCGGGTGTTTGAAACCAGCCTGGCCAACCACCCCGTCTCTACTAAAAATACAAAAATTAGCCTGGTGTGGTGGCGTGCACCTGTAGTCCCAGCTACTTGGGAGGTTGAGGCAGGAGAATTGCTTGAATCCAGGAGGCAGAGGTTGCAGTGAGCCAAGATCGTGCCACCGCACCCCAGCCTAAGCAACACAGTGAGACTCCATCTCAAAACAAACAAACAACAACAAAAACCAAGTTTCTAAAGTACGTAGGCCAGGAACAGAACAGAAGTAGACAGTAGAAGGCAGAACTGGCCCTGGAAACTACTGAGCTCTGGATTGTTAAGGGGCAAGGATACTCAGAGTTTTCTTGAGTAATTAAGTTCTGAGAGTGCTACATACTGGCCGTCTGTGAAACCAGGAATAAAAAGGACTTCTCTGGCCAAAAATTCAGCTTCAAAGAAGCTTGTAGCCATTGTCAAGGGCTGTGGTGGGAGCAGAGACAGCCACTAGCAGACAACTGGGCTACGTCAATGTCAGACTAAATCTGAACCATCCCTGGCATCATCACAAGATGAGAGGCTTAACAAAAATAGCAAACCACCAGTTTCTCAACCAGAAATTCAGGTGGAGGCAAACAAGCAAACAAACTGCAAGAGAAAAGGATGAAAGCAAAATGCACAAAAACACCATTTTACAGATGAACAAATTAATTAGCAGAGATGTTGCATATCTTGCTTGAAGTGCCTAAGTAGTGAAGTCAGGATTCCAACCCCGGCAGTCTGATTGCTGAGTCTATGCTTTTTACCTCTGTGGCGTACAGCCTCCCCAGTGAAAAAATTACCTAGTCTATAGAAAGTCTAACAATTTGATTAGCTGTTGTTTTTCACAGAGCAATTTATTTGTTTGTTTATGTAAACATTGTGTATACTGCATTTCACAGATCTTTCTATGAGTTTTGCAACACCTTCCCATGGGTAGCCCCTGTTTTGATTTCCCTCACCATAGATTAGTTTTGCCTATTTGTGAACTTTACATGAATGAAATAATACAATTTATAGTCTTTTGTGTCTGGCTTCTTTCACTCAACGTAATGTTTTCAAGGTTCATCCATGTCATAGCACGTATTAAGTTTGTTCTTTTTGAGTATTACTTTTTGGTATGAATACCACAATTTGTTGATTCATTTTTTTGTTGCTGTTGATAGACATTTAGGTTATCTCCAGTTCTGAGTTATTATAAATAATGTTTATAGCACCTGAATAAAGGTGCTATATGACACCTTTATTCGTATGTAATGACACGTAAACATTCTTTTATGTGTCATTTTCTGGACACATATTTTCATCTCTTTGGGACAAATACCTGGGAGTAAAATTGCTGGGTGCTAGGGTAGTTACATATTTAACTTGATAAAGAATTGCCAAGAGTTTTCCAGAGAGATGTTACTACTTTACATTCCTACCCTCATTGTTTCTATTGCTTTTCATCTTCAGCAACCACTTCAGTGGGGGCAAGATGACACTTTATTGTGGCTTTAATTTGCATCTTCCTATGACTAATGATGCTAAGCAGTTTTTTTGTGTATGCTTAATGGCTATTTCATATCTTCTTTTGTGAAGTTTCTGTTAAGATCTCTTGCCCAATATAATTGGGTGATTGCCTTCTTAACATTGAACTGTAGTTATTTATGTATACTGAATACAACTCCTGTGCCTGATATATGTGTTGCAAGTATCACCTACTCTATAGCTTACCTTTAATTTTATTTTTATTTATTTATTTATTTATTTATTTTGTATTATACTAAGTTCTAGGGTACATGTGCAGAACAAGCAGGGTTGTTACATAGGTATACATGTGCCATGGTGGTTTGCTGCACCCATCAACCCGTCATCTATATTAGGTATTTCTCCTAATGCTATCCCTCCCATAGCACCCCACCCCCTCCGACAGGCCCTGGTGTGTGGTGTTCCCCTCCCTGTGTCCATGCATTTTCATTGATCAACTCCCACTTATAAGTGAGAACATGCGGTGTTTGGTTTTCTGTTCTTGTGTTAGTTTGCTGAGAATGATGGTTTCCACCGTCATCCATGTCCCTGCAAAGGACATGAACTCATCCTTTTTTATGGCTGCATAGTATTCCATGGTGTATATGTGCTGCATTTTCTTTATCCAGTCTATCATTGATGGGCATTTGGGTTGGTTCCAAGTCTTTGCTATTGTGAACAGTGCCGCAATAAACATATGTGTGCATGTGTCTTTATGGAAGAATGATTTATAATTCTTTGAGTATATATCCAGTAATGGGATTGCTGGGTCAAATGGTGTCTTTTAAAAAGCAGAGGTTTTAAATTTTGTATTAAGTCCATTTTATTCATTTTCTTCTAGAATAGTTATACTTTCAGCTTTTATGTTTAAGTATGCAATCCATATCAAAATAATGTCTGTAAATGGTGTGAGGTAATTAATTAAGATTAATTATTTTTCATATATTTATCCAGCACAATTTCCTGAAAAAAATTTCCTTTCCTCATTGACATTTCTTGGTACTTTTGTTGAAAACTTTACTGACCATATATGATGGGTTTATTTCTGAACTCTATTCTGTTCTATTGACCTATTTTTCTATTCTTATACTAATATCACACTCTCTTAATTATTATTGCTTTATACTATGTCTTGAAGTCAAGTAGTATAAGTAGTATAAGTCCTCCAATATTTTTCTTTTGCAAGATTATTTTGTTTATTCTAGGTTTTTTTTTTTCAAAATAAAGTTTAAAATCGCATTGACAATGTTTACCCAAAAAAAGAATAAAAGCTATTTTAAAAGGGGCTGCATTGAGTTTAAATATCAATTTGGTAGAATTTACATTTTAAAAATATTGAATGGTCTCATTCATAAAAATGGGCTGAACTTCCATTTATTTAGATTTCCTGAAATTTCTCTTAGAAATATTTTTTAGTTAACTGTATAAAGTCATATATACTTTTATTAAGGTTATTCGTAAGTATATAATATTTTGATGCTGTTATAAAGCATGTTATTTTTGTTTTGTTTTTCAAATATCTGTTGCTAGTATATGGAAACACTACTATCTCCATTGTTCATCTGATTAAAATATTTTTTTCAGATTTACCATATGAATAAGACGATTTTAAAAGATAAAAAACAAATAAGTTTAACTCTGTAAACTACAAACCAAAATACAGTTTACATACACACAAAATTGATTTTTCAGAACTTATTTCCCACTAATGTCTTCATAAATTGGCTCTTCATTTATAATAAAGCTATTTAGGGGACTGTAATAGATAACACTAGAAATAAAAATTCTTAAATAATTTAACCAAATTTAGTCTTTTATTTCCATTTGTAGGCTCTCTAGCCTAAGCCTAACAACCAAACTTTCTCCTGCTAACGAATCCATGTTTAAAATTATGCTAGCTAATCCTGTAATTATCTGCTTTTCCTTCTCTTTTCAAATCTCTGAAGTTCTACTTCCATATGTTTTCCTTTTCTTTTATAATATCTCTCCTCATGCACTGATTATTTTTTTTACTTTGAGTTTAACCTCTCCTCATGCACCAATTTTTTTTTTACTTTTAGTTTAAAGATAATTAGATTTTGCTTTCTTTGAATGAATCTTCATAAAGGTGGCTTCCTCTAGATCCCACCTTTTTAATCTGCTTAAACCCAATGAATGAATGTATAAATGAAATAAATCTAGCTTCTATTCTCACAACTTTCTCTAAATTCTCTCATTAAAATTCCAATAACCAAATTCAGTAATTGTTTCTCATCCTAACCTCTTTTTAAAAATTTTGCTGCATTTGACGCTGTTGACTTCTCCCTCCTTGATGTCTTCTCCTGTACTTGCTTTAATGTCTCCCTTCTTTTCACATTATTACATTTCCATCAGATTGCCTTGTTCGTCACCTTCTTCCCTCTCACTTATAATGGCCTTCTAAATCTCTCCCTTCGCACTTATTCCTCAAGAGTTCAGCCAATTCCCACATTTAAATTACTCTTAGGTCATACAGCACATGTGTGAATGCAAAAATGACAAAACTTCTGGGCACCAGATGCAACACTATAGATGCACAGACTCTTTCCACCTTGGTGCAAATTTAAAACATCTGCCCCTTCCTTGGGCTTACCCAAGTGTAAAAACTATTCACAGAAATCCTGGGAATGGTTCCCAATTTTTTAGCCAGGACACCATGGCTTATTTATTATAAAGAGTTCCTGTGAATACTCCAATGTCATGTGGAATTTGACATGTCAAAAATCAAAGTTAGTTTTTCACACCCAAATTTCCTGTTATTTCAAATCCCAAGATCTCATAACCAGGCCCTCAGATACATACTCAACTTTCTATCATGTCCCTTCATTTTTTTTTTCGGAGACCACCACACTAAGCAAGACCCTACCATCTGACGACTTCACTATTTCAGTAGTCTCTTGCTGGAAATGCTTATCTCTTCAGTATCTTTACCTGATAACTAATTATTGATTTCAAAATAAAATCCACTAAAGGCTTACAAGCCTTTGCATGATCTGGCTCCCACTTCCTTGTGTAACGTTAGTATTAGAATTAGTCTCCCCGACATTTCATAAACCTTGTGCTTTCCCTTGACAGTCTGTTAGCATTGTAATTAAACAACTGTTTATTTATAAAATTATCTGTTTTATATTTGCCTCCAGCAGAATCACATGAAAGTAAGAATCACCTGTGAAAATGAGGATTGTGTCATCTTATTCGATCTTTATGTCTAGAACTTAGCACAGCATCTAGCACATAGTAGGCCATATATACACACAGTAGGAGATATATATATATATATATGTATATATATATATATATTAGAGAGAGAGAAATAAATGCAAATACTAGAATAGCATCATTTTAAAAATTGAAAGTGTCTGGTTAGATATAGCATATACTGAAAAATCCATGAATAATAGAGGGCAAATTCTGCCATGTAAACAGAGGAATAATTAGTAACCATTAGTTATTCCCACAATTTTATAGAGGTCTGGTTTCCTTAGAGAACATCATCAATCATTGCTACTGTTACAGACCTTATACTTCAGTATCTCGAAAACAGAACACTCCCTAATACTTACCACTTAACATTAACATTTTAACTAGTTCATCTCTCTTTATTAATGAGAGCTAGCACTGACACAAACAGCTGGAAGGAAGAAAGAGCTATTTGTAAATGAAACATGACTTTTACTCATCTGTTTAATATTTTAAAAGGTGACGTGGCAGAAAAGCTAACAGAAATATACATGAACAGAGTATATAACCGTTTTTCTATTTGTACCAATGGAAGAGAAAATTAATATTGATTTATTATTTATTACTAAGTGTAGAAACAGAAATGCCAGAGTTAAAATTTCCACAGCCCATTTCTAGTCAGATAGACCTCTGCCATGCCATTTCCACTGTGACCTTTGGTTAACAGAACTTTTTTTTTTTTGAGTCAGAGTCTTCCTCTTGTCACCCAGGCTGGAGTGCAGTGGTGCACTGGAGGTGCAGCTCACTGCAACCTCTGCCTCCTGGGTTCAAGCAATTCTCCTGTCTCAGCCTCCCTAGTAGCTGGGATTACAGGCGCGTGCCACCATACCCGGCTAATTTTTGTATTTTTAATAAAGACAGGGTTTCACTATGTTGGTCAGGCGGGTCTTGAACTCCTAACCTCATGATTTGCCCGCTTCAGCCTCACAAAGTTCTGGGATTACAGGTGTGAGCCACTGCACCTGGCCAACGGAACTTTTTATATGCAACTTCATTACTTACTGAGTAACCATGTAACAACATATGTTACATGGTTACTGTGCCACAGTTTCCCCATCTGTAAAAGCAGGATGATACTAACACTTAGCTTGTATATAATGAGATAATGCATCTAAGACTTTTGTCACAGAATTTAGCACATAGAATCAATAACTACTGACTCTCATTATTGTTAATATTGAATACTTATGGGGAGAGATTTGATAAATTTCTTTGACATCAAATTCCAGTGCCCATAGCCAGTTCTCTCAGAAGATTTTTTTCCAATTAAGGATAAAAATGTTTCGGTTTTTTTTAGATGGAGTCTCGCTCTGTCACCCAGGCTGGAGTGCAGTGGCATAGTCTCGGCTCACTGCAACCTCTGCCTCCCAGGTTCAAGCGATTCTCCTGCCTCAGCCTCCCAAGTAGCTGGGACTACAGGCATGTGCCACCACTCCTAGCTAATTTTTGTATTTTTAGTAGAGACGGGGTTTCACCATACTGACCAGGCTGGTCTTGAACTCCTGACCTCAGATGATCCACCCGCTTCAGCATCCCAAAGTGGCGGGATTACAGGGGTGAGCCACGGCCAAGGATAAAATTTTTATGTACAATGTAAACACATCAGAACCATTTGCAAAATTATCATTTAGTCCTATCCACACCAGTCACTGCCTGTTTGCTTATTAAGATCTTTGCTCAATGAGTTATACAATTACCCACAATTTGCATTTTTTGGCACTATGGTAAGTCCTCTACATTTGCAATCACCTGTATGCTACTCATCATTCAAAGATGAATGCCCGATATATGTCATCAGGACAGCGAATATTTCTTCTCCTATACTTATTTTGCATACAATGCAATTGATCTAACTCCCAAGTCACTTTGGGATGCGAATTTTATACTGAATATTTCTTTAGCACAGCCATTTCCATCCTTGCTTCTTTGCCATTTTTTCCCTACAACATGGACACGAGGTCAATATCTAACAGAATTATAAAGTATTTCCCTCTGTTAAAGGAATCTTCAAGCCAGGCGCGGTGGCTCACGCCTGTAATCCCAGCACTTTGGGAGGCCGAGGCGGGTGGATCACGAGGTCAGGAGATCAAGACCATCCTGACTAACACGGTGAAACCTCGTCTCTACTAAAAACACAAAAAATTAGCCAGGCGTGGTGGCGGGCGCCTGTAATCCCAGCTACGCGGGAGGCTGAGGCAGGAGAATGGTGTGAACCCAGGAGGCGGAGCTTGCAGTGAGCCGAGATCGCGCCACTGCACTCCAGCGTGGGCGACAGAGTGAGACTCTGTCTCAAAAAAAAAAAAACCTTCAGAAGATGCTCCAGCACAGCCAGTGCCGAGCACTAAGGAGACAACCCAAGAGGGAATGATATCTGCCTCTCCTCCTACTATGTTTATACTACCCATCCAAGCCAGAAATAGGAGACCCAACACCACAGGCCAGTGAAGATAATGTGTGAACTCCAACTAGCTCTTTTCATGACAATCACGCATATGGATCCCACTCCACAGCAGATGATATTCCAAAAAGGAGAACATGAGAAGAAACCGTCATTGAAGAGGCACCTGACCTTTGGCAATACCAAAGATTTTTCTAGGACTCAGCTCATTGGGAATGACATGGGATAGCAATTCCTCAAAACTCACTGCCTGCCTCAGCAAGTACTATAACTCATCAAATATTTCTAACAGTAAACTCGAAATGCAAGTTAGAAGGAAAATAGGAGCCCCTTCTTTCTGGAGTCCTTAAATAGGACAAGCTCACCCAAAAATATGACGGCAACAACATATAAAAATCTAGAATCAGGGGTATCCAAGAGACAGAATATAGTCATGGATTCTTAGTTTCTGTTTCTGGTTGGGCCAGTAAATCCCCTTTCTCATCCCTCTTTTCTGGTTATCATTAGAGACAGAAATTAAAAACCTGGTTTCAGGCTGCTAAAAGCCTAAAGTAAAACAAAACAACAACAAAATAAGGTGGCTTGGATAAACTTGATAGATGTATTGTTTCCAGTATTTGGCCAGACTCACTTTTTCTCTTGTATTCCCTAACTCTGGTCTTTTTTGAATTCTGACTTTGGCTCAAATGGTCACCTTAGAAGAGCATCACTAAGCATGCATTTCAGACACACTCCCTGGCTGGCTGGATCCTCTGCAGTCATTCAATTATGACCTAGTTTTGCTCACAGGTTTTAAATACTATTGATGGCTAAAGTTGTTTCTGCCTTCTTCCCAGGTTAGCATGTCTCAAGTAATTCTCCTCAAATTAAACAAATCTAAATTTTTATATAATTTTAATTAAAAACCAAATGTATACTTTTAAAAATATTTTCTTCTTAACTTTCAAATCTCTTTATAGCCCCTTTAAAATTTTCATAAAGTAATTTAGAGCCAAATAGTTTTACAAGGCTTGTGGGAGAAAAATATTGTCTCTTTACTATCCTATTTCTTACCCTACTTAAGCAACTATTTTCAATTCTTTCATAATTTTAACTCTAAATGGCAAGAATATTCTTTGCTTTTCAGTTCTATCCATTTTTCTATTGATTTCTAAATAATCAATAATTGTACAATTTTGAATAAGGATTTCAACTAACATAGTAATTAGAATAATAAGTTTTCTATGAAAAATTTTTGAATCATTTTTGTTACACAATAGAGCGACAGATTATAATTTAATCATTTTCTCTTCTGTCGGATATTTATTTCCAACTTAGAGGAGAGATGGCCCACGTAAAATAAAAATTAAAACACAATCCTGGTTTAGAAATCCAGGTGGCAAGATGACATTAGCATTCTCACAGAATGGTGGTTATCCCCAGTGTGACGATTCCTTTTGGATTCTCGACAGATGAGCAACTACCTGAAGAACAGGGTTCCATGGAGTTGTAAAACCTAACAATGCGTTCCTAAGAACTAACACTCAGTGTGCCAGCTAGCTGTGAAATGAAATCCCTGGTGTCTTGCTGGAAAACAAAAGCAAAAATAACTAAAAAGATGGCCTACTGCTGAACAATCCTTTTCATATGATACCAGTCAAAAGGCTTATGAAATGTAAGGTTTTCTATGTCAGCAGGAAGGCTGTAGAAGGTGATGAGTCATTTTGTCTAAAGCAATTCTTCATCATTTAGAACAAGATAAAAGTCATCTTAACACTGCCAGTCAGCTGCCCTGCCTTGACATCTGGACATGGATGTCCTACAGGGAGAACAGATGAGTGATGATGAAGATGACAAGCACCGGCATCACCACGAGTCTTGGGGAAAGGTCAGAAAAGCCAGAAGAGAAGCTGTGGCTTAAATAGCCATCACAGGGCAGCTTTCAGGTTCAGTCATTTTTAAACTTTTTCTTTTCTTGTGAGAAGGATCTTTCACTACTCAAGTTTTAAAGAAGTGGTCATAATTCTTGTCATTGTTGGTATCTAGAACTATTTTTCAATTTGCTAATTAAAAATTAAAATACACAATGCCATAAATGATAACAGCAGTGTCACTCAACAAGGACTGTGGAAATGCTTTCCCAGAGTGCACCCATAAAGTATTTTAATTCTCAATGCCTTTGCATATGCCGTTCTGTCTACGAGAGTCCTCCCTGCTCCTCTCCAAGCCTCCAATCTCCTTAGCCAGGGGAATACTTACCATTCAAGATGCAGGATTCAACAATCTCCTCCCCCACAGCTTTACTAGGACCTAATTCTGTACAAAGAAGCTGTTCTACACCTCCTTAAGGCACACAATGAGGATGCTGCCTTACCTCTTGCCTGTGTTTCTATTCCCCAGCTGTCCTAGCTCACCCTTGTCCCAAGACCATTGTCTCTGTCCCCACAAGTTTTTCCCACATCCCTGTGAATTTCTCTGAGAACCTCTTACCCTGGTGCTGGAGAGGGCCTAACCCAGAGACCTGTTCTGGGAGGCTGACTGGGATTTTCCTGCAGCCTAGGTAAAGATCCCACATTCTGAGCTCAGAGAACCACCACAGGCTATGCCATCCATCTCCTTTCAAGAACCACTTAGAAATGTCAGTTCAAAGACTTTCCTAACAACCTAGACTCCACCCACATCCCAAGATATTTTAAGGGGAGGACTAAGAGAAAGAAGGCTACCCTTTTGAGTGCTTCAGGGTTTTTAAAAAGAGACTATTCCCATCACCACACACCTACCCTCCCCACAGTGGTAGGAATGAAGAGGGGCTTCTTCTCCTTCCCAAAGCAAAGGAGGAGGACTCCAGGAGCATCAATACTAATATAACTTAAAATACAATTTGGCTGGGAGCAGTGGGTCATGGCTGTAATCCCAACACTTTGGGAGGCTGAGGCCGGTAGATCACCTGAGGTCAGGAGTTCGAGACCAGCCTGGCCAACCTGGCGAAACCCCACGTCTACTAAAAATACAAAAATTAGCCAGGCATGGTGGAGAACGCCTGTAATCCCAGCTACTCAGGAGGCTGAGGTAAGAGAATCGCTTGAACCTGGGAGGCAGAGGTTGCAATAAGCCAAGATCATGCCACTGCACTCCAGTCTGGGAAACAAAGCAAGACTCCATCTCAAAAAGAAATATGTGTGTGTGTGTGTGTGTGTGTGTGTGTGTGTGTATGTATGTGTATATATATGTATGTACATATGTATGTATATATTTATGTATGTATATATATGTGTATATGTATGTATGTGTGTGTGTATATATATATATAGAGAGAGAGAGAGAGAGAGAACAATTTTATTTTCCTAATTTAGGCTCTTCTAGAAAAAAACACCTGAGCAAGAGCTCAAATGCAAAATTAATTTATTTGAGAGATACAGGAAGTATTAGTAAGGGAGAGGAGAAATGAGAACGGGAAGGGTGGGCAACTGGAGGTTAATCTGTCTGGGGAAATTCAGAGTCAGTGTAAACCGCATGTCTCAGAGTGTTCTTTAATGTGCAAGGGAGCTGGGGCATTTATACATCAACTCCAGTGAGTAATATGTTGAAGACTGCCTACACAGGAGGGTGTTGGTGTTAGTAGGCCAGCACTCGGAGACTACTTCAGGTAACACATAGATGAGAAACTGGACTATGTTAGCAAGAGAGAAGGCTCTCAGACAAAGACATACAGATGCTGAAAGTTAGAAGATAGGCTTGGATGCACTAAGGTGGCAAGGACAAGGATATAGATAAAGCACTAAAAGCATTTGCTATGTTTATTATCATTTTGCCGGTAAATGGTTGCTGTACATCACACTTTATATTGCATATTATCTACTGCATATAGAACATCAGTTTAAGTACAAGGTTAATACATATAAACACAGTGTGATTCTGGATAATCCCTTGTGGTCTCAGTTACAATGTACATGTTATTAAGTACATGTTATTAATTTTTTAAATTGCTTCACCAGATATTTTCAAGAGAGAGACTACATGGTGTGAAGCATGTAGGGTGCCTGGTTGACTGAAGTCCCATTAAGGGTGTTACCCGGTAACTGAGCAGGAGTTCAATTTTTCTGTTTTCTAGCAGTGCTTAAACTGTACCAATTTAAAACTTTTAACTCTCAATATCCATTGACTTATTTTATTTGACTTCCTCTCTTATATGGAATGACATTTCAATGAGAGAGGAAACTGAATCATATATTCATGAATTTTTCAGATTCACAGCTAGTGACAGTTTGACCTAACATTCAAGACTCCTCTCAATTCAGTTTTCTTTTCCATTTGTGAACCTCCTGAGTTCTTCCTTGACTTTCAGTTCTTAAAATTATCCAGAGCCCATGGATATCAGTACAACACTAACACCAATGTATTGCTATTGCTTTAAAGATAATGTTTATTTTCTTGTCAAACTGATGTTCATTTGATGATATCTCTACAGAAACAATACACACATACAATGTCTGACACATTAGTATAAAGTGGAGGATCTATATTCGTATGTGCATCATCTTCTAAGTTTCTTCAAAAAATTCAGTACCAAAAAGATCCATTACATTTTTAGTATAGGCTTTAGAGTCTTCTCTGGTAGTATACAAGGTAATAATTTCTTTTTATTTTCTGTGCTCTCAGATATCCCAATAATGGGAAAAACATGTTGTTATGAAACAAGTGGAAAAATACTGTCTGTACTGAGAGCCATACAACAAGAATGATGACATTAGGTAGGCTTTCATCTAATCAAATGTATTGCTATATTCCTGAAAAGGGGAATTTGGGGATATGAGAAATGGAGAAAAAGGCCCAGAGCACAACACAGTCAATAAAAGTTTTCCCTATGAGAAGGAGTATTCTTTTTCCCTTTTTGTAGGGAACTGGCACAAATGTTTTGAATGAATGGTTAGTTTAATTGATTTTTAACATTTTGGAGTTTCTCACCTTAGAAGTACCAAAAGTTCACATTGGTTTTCTGTTTATAAACATATATATTTCATTTAGCCCTCCATTTAGACGAATACAATGATGATTAATTGTTGTTTAGTAAATGTATTAGTCAACTGGAGCTGCATAACAGAATACCATAAACTAGGTGGCTTAAGCAACAGAAATTTATTTCACACAGTTCTGAAGGCTGACAAATTCAATATCAAGGTACTGACTGATTCAGTTCCCCAGTGTGGGCCTTCTCTTCCTATTTCCCAGTTGGGTGCCTTCTCACTGTGTCCTCACATGGCAGAGAAAGACAGAGAGAGAGAGAGAGACTGAGAACTCTGTTCTCTCCTTTTCCTTATAAATACACTAATCCCATCACAGAGAACTGACCTGTATTAGCCCGTTTGCATGCTGCTAAAAAAGACATACCCAAGATTGGGTAATTTATAAAGGAAAGGGGTTTAATTGACTCACAGTTCAGCATGGCTGGGGAGACCACAGGAAACTTACAATCGTGGCGGAAGGGGAAGCAAACACGTCTTTCTTCACATGGCAGCAGCAAGGAGAAGTGTGGAGTGAAGCGGGGAAAAGCCTCCTATAAAACCATCAGATCTCATGAGAACTTACTATCATAAGAATAGCAGCATAGGGGGAACCACCCCCATGATTCAGTTACCTTCCACCAGGTCTCTCCCATAACACATAGTGATTATGGGAACTACAATTCAAGATGAGATCTGGGTGGGGACACAGCCAAACCATAACACCATCTTTATGAACTTATCTAAACCTAATTACCTCCCAGAGGCTCCATTCTCAAATACCATTATACTAGGGGTTACAGCTTCAACATATGAATTTGGGGCTTCAACATATGACACACACACACATTCAATTCATAACAGTAAGACTAGGACTCAAAAGAGTGATTCCTGGATGGTTATGTATTTTCAAGAATTTCAGGTATTACACGTCTGAAAGAACAACAACAAGCACCACAGAGAGTTATGAGGCACAAACAAACACACACACACACACATACACACACACACACACACATACACACATATATATTTTAAATTTTATTTTACTTTAAGTTCTGGGATACATGTTCAGAACATGTAGATTTGTTACATAGGTATACATGTGCCATGGTGGTTTGCTGCACCTATCAACTGGTCATCTAGGTTTTAAGCCCCACATGCATTATGTATTTGTCCTAATGCTCTCCCTCCTCTTACCCCCCACCCTCCCACAGGCTCTGGTGTGTGATGTTCCCCTCCCTATGTTCATATGTTCTCATCGTTCAACTGCCGCTTATGAGTGAGAATGTACAATGTTTGGTTTCCTGTTCCTGTGTTAGTTTGCTGAGAATGATGGTTTCCGGCTTCATCCATGTCCCTGAAAAGGACATGAATTCATTCTTTTTTATGGCTGCATAGTATTCCATGGTGTGTATGTGACACATTTTTTTTATCCAGGCTATCATTTATGGGCATTTGGGTTGGTTCCAAGTCTTTGCTATTGTAAGTAGTGCTGCAATAAACATACATGTGCATGTGTCTTTACAGTAGAATGACTTTTAATCCTTTGGGTATATACCCAGTAATGGGATTGCTGGGTCAAATGGTATTTCCAGTTCCAGATCCTTGAGGAATACCCACACTGTCTTCCACAATGGTTAAACTAATTTACACTCCTATTTCTTCACAGCCTCACCAGCATCTGTTGTTTCCTGACATTTTAATGATCGCCATTCTAACTGGAGTGAGATGGTATCTCATTGTGGTTTTGATTTGCATTTTTCTAATGACCAGTGATGATGAGCTTTTTTTCAAGTTTGTTGACTTCATCAATGTCTTCTTTTGAGAAGTGTCTGTTCTTATCCTTCATCCACTTTTTGATGGGGTTGTTTGTTTCTTGTTCCTTGTAGATTCTGGATATTAGCCCTTTGTTAGATGGATAGATTGCAAAAATTTTCTCCAATTCTGTAGGTTGCCTGTTCACTCTGATAATAATTTCTTTTGCTGACAGAAGCTCTTTAGTTTAATTAGATCCCATTTGTCAATTTTGGCTTTTGTTTCAATTGCTTTTGGTATTTTAGTCATGAAGTCTTAGCCCATGCCTATATCCTGAATGGTATTGCTTAGGTTTTCCTCTAGGGTTTTATGATTTTAGGTTTTACATTTAAGTCTTTAATCTATCTTGAGTTAATTTTTGTATGAGGTGTAAGGAAGGGGTCCATTTTTTGTTTTCTGCATATGGCTAGCCAGTTTTCCCAGCACCATTTATTAAATAGGGAGTCCTTTCCCCATTTCTTGTTTTTGTCAGGTTTTTTGAAGATCAGATGGTTGTAGATGTGTGGTGTTATTTCTGAGGCCTCTGTTTTGTTCCATTGTTTCTTATATTTGTTTTGGTACCAGTATCGTGCTGTTTTTGTTACTGTAGTCTTGTAGTATAGTTTGAAATCAGGTAGCATAGTGCCTCTAGTTTGTTCTTTTTGCTCAGGATCGTCTTGGCTATACGGGCTCTTTTTTGGGTTCCATATGAAATTTAAGGTAGTTTTTTTTCTAATTCTGCAAAGAAAGTGAATGGTAGCTTGATGGGAATAGCATTGAATCTATAAATTACTTTGGGCAGTATGGCCATTTTCACGATATTGATTCTTCCTATCCATGAGCATGGAATTGTTTTCAATTTGTTTGTGTCCTCTCTTATTTCCTTGAGCAGTGGTTTGTAGTTCTCCTTGAAGAGGTCCTTCATGTCCCTTGTAAGTTGTATTCCTAGGTATTTTATTCTCTTTGTAGAAAATGTGAATGGGAGTTCACTCATGGTTTGGCTCTCTGCTTAATTATTATTGTATAGGAATGCTTTTTATTTTTGCACATTGATTTTGTATTCTGAAACTTTGCTGAAGTTGCTTATCAGCTTAAGGAGTTTTGGGGCTGAGACGATGGGGTTTTCTAAATATACAATCATGTCATCTGCAAACAGAGATAATTTGACTTCCTCTTTTCCTATTTGAATACTCTTTATTTCTTTCTCTTGCCTGATTGCCCTGGCCAGAACTTCCAATACTATGTTGAATAGGAGTGGTGAGAGAGGACATCCTTGTCTTGTGCTGGTTTTCAAAGGGAATGTTTCCAGCTTTTGCCCATTCAGTATGATATTGGCTATGGGTTTGTCATAAATAGCTCTTATTATTTTGAAATATGTTCCATTAATGCCTAGTTTATTGATACTTTTTAGCATAAAGGATGTTGAATTTTATAGAAGGCCTTTTCTGCATCTATTAAGATAATCGTGGTTTTGTCACTGGTTCTGTTTATATGATGAATTATGTTTACTGATTTTTGTACATGGAACCACCCTTGCATGCCAGGGATGAAGTCGGCTTGATTGTGGTGGATAAGCTTTTTGATGTGCTGCTGGATTCGGTTTGCCAGTATTATACTGAGGATTTTCGCAGCAATGTTTACGAGGAATATTGGCCTAAAATTTTCTTTTTTGTTGTGTCTTTGCCAGGTTTTATTATTAGGATGATGCTGGCCTCATAAAATGAGTTAGGGAGGAGTCTCTCTTTTTCTATTGTTTGGAATAGTTTCAGCAGGAATGGTACCAGCTCTTCTTTGTACCTCTGTTAGAATTCGGCTGTGAATCCATCTGGTTCTAGGCATTTTATTTTTTTTTTTGGTTGGTAAGCTGTTAATTACTGCCTCAATTTCAGAACTTGTTATTGGTCCATTCAGGGATTCAACTTCTTCCTGGTTTAATATTGGGAGAGTGTATGTGTCCAGGAATTTATCCATTTTTTCTAGATTTTCTAGTTATTTGAGTAGAGGTGTTTACAGTATTCTTTGATGGTAGTTTGTATTTCTGTGGGATCAACAGTGATATCCCCTTTATCATTTTTTATTGTTTCTATTTGATGCTTCTTTCTTTTCTTCTTTATTAGTCTAGCTAGCAGTCTGTCTACTTTGTTAATCTTTTCAAAAAACCAGCTCCTGGATTCAGTGATTTTTTGAAGGATTTTTCTTGTCTCTATCTCCTTCAGTTCTGCTCTGATCTTAGTTATTCTTGTGTTCTGCTAGCTTTTGAATTTGTTTGCTCTTGCTTCTCTAGTTCTTTTAATTGCGATATTAGGTTGTTGATTTCAGGTCTTTCCAGGTTTCTGATATGGGCATTTAGTGCTATAAATTTCCCTCAACACTGCTTTACCTGTGTCCCAGAGATTCTGGTACGTTGTCTCTTTGTTCTCATTGGTTTCAAAGAACTTATTTTTTTCTGCCTTAATTTCATTATTTACCCAGTAGTCATTCAGGAGCAGGTTGATCAATTTCCATGTAGTTGTGCAGTTTTGAGTGAATTTCTTCATCTGAGTTCTAATTTGATTGCACTGTGGTCTGAGATACTGTTATGATTTCTGTTCTTTTGCATTTGTTGAGGAGTGTTTTACTTCCAATTATGTGGTTGATTTTAGAATAAGTGCTATATAGTGCTGAGAAGAACGTATATTCTGTTGATTTGGGGTGGAGAGTTCTGTAGATGTCTATTAGGCTTGGTCCAGAGTTGAGTTCAAGTCCTGAATATCCTTGTTTATTTTCTGTCCTGTTGATGTGTCTAATATTGACAGTGGAGTTTTGAAGTCTCCCAGTATTATTGTGTGGGAGTCCAAGTCTCTTTGTAGGCCTCTAAGAACTTGTTTTATGAATCTGGGTGCTCCTGTATTGGGTGAATATATATTTAGGATAGTTAGCTCTACTTGTTGCATTCATCCCTTTACCATTATGTAATGCCCTTTGTCTTTTTTTATTTTTATTGGTTCAGAGACCAGGATTGCAACCTCTGCTTTTTTTTTTTTTCTTTCCATTTGCTATTCCTCCATCCCTTTATTTTGAGCTTATGTGTGTCTTTGCACATGAGATGGGTCTCCCGAATACAGCACGCTGATGGGTCTTGACTCTTTATCCAATTTGCCAAGCTGTATCTTTAATTGGGGCATCTAGCCCATTTACATTTAAGGTTAATATTGTTATATGTGAATTTGATCCTGTCATCGTGATGCTAGCTGGTTATTTTGCACAATAGTCGATGCAGTTTCTTCAAAGTGTCATTGGTCTTTATATTTTGATGTGTTTCTGCAGTGACTGGTATTGGTTTTTCCTTTCCATATTTAGTGCTTCCTTCAGGAGCTCTTATAAGGCAGGTCTGGTGGTGACAAAATCACTCAGCATTTGCTCATCTGGAAAAGGTTTTATTTCTCCTTTGGTTATGAAACTTAGTTCAGCTTGATATGAAATTTGCGGTTGAAAATTCTTTTCTTTAAGACTGTTGAATATTGGCCCCCACTCTCTTCTGGCTTGTAGGGTTTCTGCAGAGAGATCCACTGTTAGTCTAGTGGGCTTCCCTTTGTAGGTAACCTGACCTTTCTCTCTGGCTGCCTTTAACATTTTTTCCTTCATTTCAACCTTGCAGAATCTGATGCTATGTGTCTTGGGGTTGCCCTTCTCGAGGAGTATCTTAGTGGTGTTCTCTGTATTTCCTGAATTTGAATGTTGGCCTGTCTTGGTAGGTTGGGGAAGTTCTGGATAATATCCTGAAGTGTGTTTTTCAACTTGGTTCCCTTCTCCACATCACTTTCAGGTACACCAATCAAACGTAGGTTCAGTCTTTTCACATAGTCCCATATTTCTTGGAGGCTTTGTTTGTTCCTTTTCATTCTTTTTCTCTAATCTTGTCTTCATGCCTTATTTCAGTAAGCTGATCTTCAATCTCAGATATCCTTTCTTCTACTTGATCAATTCAGCTATTGATACTTGCATGTGCTTCACAAAGTTCTTGTGCTGTGTCTTTCAGCTCCATCAGGTCATTTATGTTCCTCTCTAAACTGGTTATTCTAGTTAGGAGTTCCTGCAACCTTTTATCTGGGTTCTTAGCTTCCTTCCATTGGGTTAGAACATGCTCCTTTAGCTCAGAGGAGTTTGTTATTACCCACCTTCTGAAGCCTACTCCTGTGAATTCAACAATCTCATTCTCTATTCAGTTTTGTGCCCTTGCTGGAGAGGAGTTGCAATCATTTGGAGAAGAAGAGGCATTCTGGTTTTTGGAATTCTCAGCGTTTTTGCTGTTTTTTCCTCATCTTAGTGGATTTACCTATCTTTGATCTTTGAGGCTGATGGTCTTTGAATGGGGTTTTTGTGTGATGATCCTTTTTGCTGATAATGCTGTTGTTGCTTTCTGTTTGTTAGTTTATCTTCTAACAGTTGGGCCCCTCTTCTGCAGGTCTGCTGCAGTTTGCTGGAGGGTCCACTCCAGATCCTGTTCACCTGGGTATCACCAGTGGAGGCTGCAGAACAGCAAAGATTGCTGCCTGCTCCTTCTCTGGAAGCTTCATCCCAGAGGGGTACTGGCTTGATGCCAGCCAGAGCTCTCCTGTATGAAGGGTCTGTCGACCCTTGTTGGGAGGTCTCTCCCAGTCAGGAGTCACGGGGGTTGGGGACCCACTTAAAGAGGCAATCTGTCCCTTAGCAGAGCTCGAGCGCTGTGCTGGGAGATTCACCCTTGTGAGGATCAGCTGCCCTCTTCAGAGCCCGCAGGCAGGAAAGATTAAATCCACTTAAGCTGTACCCACAGCTGCCCCTTCCCCCAGGTGCTCTATCCCAGGGAAATGAGAGCTTTATCTGTAAGGCCCTGACTGAGGCAGCTGCCTTTCCTTCAGAGATACCCTGCCCAGTGAGGAGGAATCTAGAGAAGCAGTCTGGCCACAGCCGCTTTGCCACGCTGTGGTGAATTCTGCCCAGCCAGTCCAAACCTCCCAGGCTTCCTTAGCACTGTCAGGAGAAAACCGCCTACTCAAGCCTCAGTAATGGCAGATGCCCCTTCCCCCACCAAGCTCAATCGTCCCGGGTCGCCTTCAGACTGCTGTGCTGACAGTGAGAATTTCAAGCCAGTGGTTCTTAATTTGCTGGGCTCCGCGGGAGCGGCACCTGCTGAGCAAGACCACTTGGCTCCCTGGCTTCAGCCCCCTTTCCAGGGGAGTGAATGGTTCTGTCTCACTGGGATTTCAGGTGCCACTGGGGTACAAAAGAATTCCTGCAGCTAGCTTGGTATCTGCCCAAATAGCTGCCCAGTTTTGTGCTTGAAACCCATGGGCCTGGTGGTTTAGGAACATGAGGGAATCTCCTGATCTGCAAATTGCGAAAACCATGGGAAAAGTGTAGTATCCAGGCCAGGTACCACAGTCCCTCAATGGCTTCCCTTGGCTAGGGAAGGGAGATCCCCCAGCTCCTTGCACTTTCCGGGTGAAGCAACTCCCCACTCTGCTTCTGGACCCTCCATGGTTTGTACCCACTGCCTAACCAGTCCCAGTGAGATGAACTGGATACCCCAGTTGGAAATGCAGAAATCACCCGCCTTCTGCATTGGTCTCGTAGGGAGCTGCAGACCAGAGCTGTTCCTTTCAGCCATCTTGGCCCCTCCTCCCTGAGGCACACATATTAATGTGTACAGCTTCTTCTTAATATCTAGAAAGGAAATAAAAGCATTATTGAGAAGATTATCATTATGTCCATTAGAGATTTTTTTACACTATTAGAACATAATTTGAACATCTATATAAGAGTGGGACAGAATGTGAGTGTTTCTATATTTAAAAATTGGAGCTGTTTTTTGTGGTTTAGTTCAGAATAACCTCCTAATCAAGTCTGAAAGGCAGCTCACCATTACATCTACAAAGTGTGAGTTTTCTGGGAACAATGTGGTAAATCATTAATCCAGCAAATATTATTATGAGAAACAAAAGATACAATGGTGAATATTTTATGGTATTTGACTTCTTGGATATTGAACTCAAATGAGAAAAGCATTAAACTAAACAGACAAGTATGATGCAAAATAAGTACGAGTATAATGCAAAATAAGTAGTGGGAATACATAAGAGGGACAACCAACCCAGATTTTGGGATTCAGGGAAGACGCAGTTGGCCATGAGAGACATGGAAGAGCTATAAATATATTACAGACAAGGGCACTGAGGCAAAGGAATGCACAGCACCTTCGGGAAACTGAAACTAGTTTGCTGGGCTGCAGAGAAGTGAGTAAGGACTATAAATGGTAACAAATGGGCCAGGTAGGTGGGTTCCTGACAAGTCATATTAAAAAGTTGGAAATTTGTCTGAATATAATAATAATTATTTAAGGGAGCTTAAGGGAGAAAATTTCATTATCTTGTGCACATTTGAATGATCACTCTGGCTATGCCATGGATACTGTTCTTGGAAAATGTTAGACTTGTAGGCAGGGAAATTCTGAAGGGTGTTCTAGCAATAATTCAGATGAAAAAGAATGGTGACCTGAACTAGAGTAGTGATGGTGGGTGTGGTAAGAAATAAGTGTAGTTGAGAGATATTGACAAAGTAGATTTTGTAGGCCCTAGTGATTGGTTGGCTGCCAGTAAGGAGGAGAGAAATATTCAATACTTCTGGTCTGGGCAATTGGACAGGTACTATGCCACTTACTACAGATTGGAAATTGAGGAAGAGGTGCAGTTTTGGTGTGTTAAGCCATTTCCTGTAAATGAAATTAGTATTTACATAATAATATTTATCATTGTTTTAAATCGTCTCATATAATGTATATTTACAGGTAATGAATTCAAGGCTTAAAAACATTAAATATCTTCCCTAAGATTACACAGATCATAAATGATAACACCTGGACTGGGACCAGATATTATATGTTGAACACTTTTGCTTATTGCACTCTGCCTGCCTACCCTAGAAACTGCATTAACTCATAAGAGGGATAATATCTTTAGTAGTAATATCACTGACTTCCGGAATGATGTTCTCATGACCTGAAAGGGATGATGTTACCTTCCAAGCTATTCAATTTACTCATCCAGCAAGGCAATTTCAACCCCCCAGAGTATACTATCTTCACTGGCATCTTTATTTTTAAAATAACAACCTTGAAATAGCTTTTCTACTTTTCCCTTCAAAGTATTCCACAACTAAGTTGGAAATGCAGTTTGAAAAAAAAAATTCAGAAGTAGGTTCTCTTCAGATAATTAAATTATCTTATTTTTGTGATCATTGCATGACAAAAATACCGTGAAGTCTATTTCTCTGACTATAGATAAATCATTTACCATGGGCAGTTTTAATATATTCCCTTTTCTGCAGGAATTTTCCCCATATTACTGTCTCAGCACCACAGAGGCTTTCTGAGATCAATATCTAAAGGGGCTTTGCTCATATAAATCAAGTAAAATCTAATTTTTCCACATTTGTAAGATAGTAATAAGTAATGGATACAATGTTTTCAGTCATTGTTTTCTTTCACACATTTTTATTAAACTTGGTATCGGCTACAAATTATCTATATCAAAATCTAGTAAAAGGGATTCTGGGAGGATGGTAGCAGCAACAAGCTTTGAATTCCTACATAGAAATAGATAGAAAAACTACATAGAATCAACCATGGCAACATTAGGGAACAGACTATCCTCAGGAATGTCGAAAACACAAGCAGGTGAAGACAGACTGTACAGCCACAAGACTTGATGATATTAGCATTTGAGCAGGAAACACACAGGAGAGAAACAGAGCATCTGATGGACCTGATAATAAGAAAATTCCGAAAGAGCCAAAAACTAATCACTGGAAAGCACAGTGGGCTGACTTGGAAATAACTTAAAATTTGGAGAGGTTTTGCTTAACTCAAAGTTGGATGAATACAAGGAGTCCATGAGGGGAGCTAAAGGATTAGTTAAAAGTCTGGCCACTAAACCATGTGTACTCTTGCAATTGACTTGCCATGGCTTCCTCTTCAGATACTGCTCACACTCAGTAGCAACTCCTGGGAGCAGAATAAAAATCAAGTAGAGTATGTGTAACAGAGATGAAGAAAATAGGAGCTCCAGATGAAAGTGGGGAAGGGGAAGAGAGTCAAGAAATCTCAGAAAGCAAGTCGCCATATTTTTGAACACTATGCAAAAACAGGAAAAGAATGAGCACTGTGAAGAATGAGCTCAGATACAAAACATATCTGAGCAAAACCTCCTTCCAAAATGGCAGGAAAACTAATTTATCTTAAAAATGAGCCAAGATTAAGTATTGAGGTTAAATCTCATATGAAGCTACTATAAGAAAACAAATTGAAAAAAAGTGTTCAAAACAGTATCCTATTTTATACAGAGCTAAAAGATATTAATAAAACTATAAAAGAACAGTGAAAGAATAATATAAATCAGTATCAGAAAACCTCAGAGATAAAATGACAGTACTCAAAAAAAAAAAACACATAAAATGAAGATTAAACCAGAGGGAATAAAAAAGTCAGTGAACACTGAGATGATGAGAAAATCACTTATGAGAAATACATGGTGAAAAAAGGAGAAAAAAATTTAAACAAACATGATGAAGATATTTAAAAATTTGAGAGAAAGTGATAAATATTTAAGATAGGTTTTTAAAATATATACAAATAAAAGGAGTCTCTGAAGAGAAAAACCAAAGAGAACAGAACCAATACAAAACCTATAATTCAAAAAAAACTTTCCTTAAATAAAATAAATTTGAATCTATATATTGAAAGAGAAGTCCATATACTTGAGTCCGTATACAACTTAGAAAAACTAATACCAAGTCATATTCAAATAAAACTACTGGATTTTAACGAAAACAAAAAAAATATTTGGCCATCTAGGCAAAAGAAACAAAAATAGCAAATGACTTGTAGATATTACATCGTTAGCAGACTTTTCAAGAGTCACACTTTCTTTCACAACAAAATGGAGGATATTCTAGGAAAGAAAATATGAACCAATGATTTTATGATTTTAGATACAAACAGTTATCAACATGAAAGACTGCAGTAAATATTGTTTCCATAAGTCCTTGGTAAGGAATGTAGTAGAGAATGAACATCAGAAAACCAAATGACTGAAGAGAATTAAACATGTAGAATATATAGTTACTTTTAGAACTAAGACTAAATGAGGTTTAAAGAAAGACTGCAGTATGCAATGGTATTAAGTTCAGGCAATGTAGATAGAATATAACTCTAAAAAACGGTAGAGCGTGGGAAGAGCATATGCAAACAATATTTTAATTGTTCTTGTTAATTATGTTGAGGATGATAGTACAGTAGTGTTATTTTAAGACAGATGTGTGTATGATGTAAGATAAAATAAATGGGCTATTCAGATTTTACTATCTCCTGTGCATTTGAGACTGATTATTTGTGTAATTTAAATGAAGCTATGTAGAAATCCTGTAGTCCTGAATTTGAATTGCACATATCAGGATGAAGTCATGAGGAATTCTCTCTTTAAAATTATATATGTTTTCTGCCCACTAAGACGCCAAGAAGTAGTGACCTACTCAGTAGCAATTAACATTCCTTGCACCCAGATTGTAGTCTTCAATTGTCATTTCCTAATAAAAGAAACCAGAGCTTCTTGAAGAATTGGTTGATTCCAGGCTTGGGACAGGAAAGGCATGTAATGAACTAGGAAATCTTGTCAAACCGTATAGTGAGCAAGTTCTCACAAATGTCTAGGATCATGTTGAAAGGACTCAAGAGACCACTCAAAGATCACTGCCATTACCACCTCTAACATGAGAGATGAGCAGACACCGCATGCCATCTGAAGGAACACACCACCACCTAGAGTCTTGCCAAAAGGATCCAATCTGAATTTAATTGAGCCTCTGGTTCCAGGTACCAATTTGCAAAGGACAGAGGTACATGATGAAGTTTGCCATGAAAATGCAGTCAGCCAAATCTAGACAGTGGGAAACTCTGCAGGTCAAATGTCCTGGGTCTTTTAGCAGATGTAATGTTAGAGGGGTAGAGGGGTGAAAGGGGAAACTGTGAATTAAAAGAGACTTAAAAAACATTTCAAATAAAATTTTTTAATGACAAGACTAAACTATATTTTAAACTAGAGATTCACACCTCAGTGATAACACTGTAAACAAGGCAAAGTTATTACTTTAGAAGTTGAGATAGTGGTAGCCTTTGTGGGGGCCACACACATGAAGGGACATCTGGGGACGCTGGCAAAGTTTCTTAACTTGCTGATGATTGTATGGATGTTTACTTCAATATCTCAAAAAGTTATCTATTTGTTTGTGAAGTTTTTCTATATCTGTGTTTTATTTTAAACTAACATGTTTTTAAATTCAATATAATATGTAATTGCTCTAAGAGAAATAATATATTTTATTATTGTAGATATTTAAAACACTTTCTTTTTTCAGATTTTTTTAAGTTCAAGGGTATATGTACAGGTGTGTTACATAGGTAAACGTGTGTCATGGTGTTTATTGTGCAGATTATTTCATCACCCAGGTATTAAGCCTAGTACCCATTAGTTGTTTTTCCTGACCCTCTCCCTCCTCCCACCCTCCATCCCCTGATAGGTCCAGTGTGTGTTGTTCCCCTTTCTGTGTCCATGTGTTCTCATCATTTAGCTCCCACTTAGTGAGAACATGCAGTATCTGGCTCTGTGTTTCTACATTTAGTTTGCTAAAGATAATGCCCTCCAGCTCCATCCATGTCCCTGCAAAGGACATCATCTCATTCTTTTTATGGCTGCATAGTATTCCATGGTGTATATGTACCACATTTTCTTAATCCAGTCTATTATAGATGGGCATTTAGATTGATTTCATGTCTTTGCTATTGTAAATAGTCGCAATGAACATATGCCTGCATGTGTCTTTAGAATAGAATGATTTATATTCCTTTGGGTATATACCCAGTGATGGAATTGCTGGGTCAAATGGTATTTCTGCCTTTATGTCTTTGAGGAATCACCACACTGTCTTCTACAACGATTGAACAAATTTACACTCCCACCAACAGCATGTAAGTGTTCCTTTTTCTCCACAACCTCACCAGCATCTGTTATTTTTTGACTTTTTTTTTATTATTATACTTTAAGTTTTAGGGTACATGTGCACAATGTGCAGGTTAGTTACATATGTATACATGTGCCATGCTGGTGTGCTGCACCCATTAACTCATCATTTGGTATTAGGTATATCTCCTAATACTATCCCTCCCCCCTTCCCCCACCCCACAACAGTCCCCAGAGTGTGATGTTCCCCTTCCTGTGTCCATGTGTTCTCATTGTTCAATTCCCATCTATGAGTGAGAACATGTGGTGTTTGGTTTTTTGTCCTTGCCATAGTTTGCTGAGAATGATGATTTCCAATTTCATCCATGTCCCTACAAAGGACATGAACTCATCATTTTTTATGGCTGCATAGTATTCCATGGTGTGTATGTGCCACATTTTCTTAATCCAGTCTATCATTGTTGGACATTTGGGTTGGTTCCAAGTCTTTGCTATTGTGAATAGTGCTGCAATAAACATACGTGTGCATGTGTCTTTATAGCAGCATGATTTATAGTCCTTTGGGTATATACCCAGTAATGGGATGGCTGGGTCAAATGGTATTTCTAGTTCTAGATCCCTGAGGAATCGCCACACTGACTTCCACAATGGTTGAACTAGTTTTAATAATAACCATTCTGACTGGTGTGAGATGGTATCTCATTATGGTTTTGATTTACATTTCTCTAATGATCGGTGATGTTGAACTTTTTTTCATATGCTTATTGGCTGCATGTATGTCTTCTTTTGAGAAGTGTTTATTCATGTCCTTTGCCCACTTTTTAATGGGGTTGTTAAAACATTTTCATAATGAAACTATGTTTCATATGATCCACAGAGACCTCTGTCACTCTAGTTTTGAGTTAAACAATTATCTGACATTTGAGAACTACTGTAACGAGCAGTCACTGGTATTTCCCCGCTTCATGTTGATATTCGCAGAGCCTGGCATGCAGTAAATAGTCAATAATCTCCATTGAAAGAACAATGGCTGTTTTTCAGATGGCATATTTGGTCTTGAATTTTAAATTGTCATCTTTAAATAGACACTCCTTCATTTGCCGGCCTTTATAAAACTACTATGGTATAGGGAAGCCAGCCCATTCTTTGTAACCTCACCATTAATCTGGGGATAATTCTATTTTTTAAAACGGAAATTCTAATCACTTGAATAATAAATATTAGTCTTTTTTGTATAAAAATTTTTCTAGAGAAATAACATTTATCTACTTTAATACTTTAATCTCTTTGAAAATATAAATTAAAAAGTAAAGAAATTATAGGTGGCTTTGTATTTTTTCATAAATATCAAGTCCTTGACACTGGCATTTAAAAAATTAAATTCTAGTTGGAGAATAGGGAGTAAAATGAAAGTATTATTTCATTTATCCCCAGAAAATGTACATCAATATTTTGTAAAGTGAAAAAATAAAAACCAATATCAAAAGTTTAGGAAAAAGAATGTGAGCTTATAGCTATTTGATGCTCAAAATGTAGGATCTATTTCAGGTATAAATTCATTTTTAATTATGACCTGAGATTCTTCCAGTAACTTTAATCAGGGTTATTTAACTGCCTTCTGCACATTTTTTCTCTCCTTTGTTCTTCCTATTTAGAATTCTGGTTTCATTTTCTAAAGTGCAAAATCTATCTCTCCTTTCTAAATATGACTATTACATTTAGATCTTTAAAAACAGAGCTATTTTGAGCTGTTACATTTACTTTCCAAAATCATTGCCTTTGTCTTGGACAGAGAACTCCAGAATAGGCCAAATGTCTAAAAAGTAATTATCCTTGATTTTTTTTTCCCTGAGAATTCAAAGCCATTTTTATCCGATGCCCTAGTTGGACCTATGTAATATTTCCCTGATCAGTTCTATGTTGCTCTTTCTGGCATTGTTCATTACTAACATTTGGCAAATTTATACCACTCCACCTAGAAATAGCCTGGAAAATTCCAAAAACATAAAGATATTATTAAATTTGTAATCAAAACTTTGCTAGTCCTTAATTTGGCCGACAAAGTCATTTTTTTCATACCCTTGTGTTTGTGATCACCAACTATCAAATCATTCCATGCAGAACTCAGTAAACAGTGATCAGTCAGAACAGGCAACAAATTTACTAACTTTTTAATTAGTATCATTAAATTAAAGCTATTAATTTTATCCAACCATGAAAACTTTAAGAAAATCTGGAGCTTAGAAATACACAAATGGTGTACATGTAGGTACCATTTATTTTATGTCATTACTTGGCATCATATAGATACAAGGTGACAGGGAGGGCTCAATTCTGTACAACAATGGAACATATTTAATGGAAAAAATTACTCAGAAGTTCAGGTTCTCTGACACATATGCGTACAATGATTAGAGAGGCAGAGGCCTATGGGCAACATTCACTTAAGGAGAACATTTAGAACAATGACACAACTAACAATGACAAATGGAGAGCGGTTTTCAGATGTCTAGACCCAGCTCTGCTGTTGGGCCTTGCATAAACGTGTCTGAGCAAAGGAGGAAAGAGGGCTAAAATCCATCCTGTGCACCGTTCGCCAAGCTCGCACCCTGGCATGGGACTGCCTATCTCAGCATGTCATCTGATGGCCAAGCCATACTGTCCAAGTAGTCACACTCATCAGAGGGATGCTAGTCCTTAACACTCACAAGGTCCTGCTTAGACCAGTGTTGGGCCTACCTTACATCCACCTTAGAGCCACTGAATGCAAATAGGCAGGAGTGGTCCCAGTCATTTTCCCAAGTCCTCTAGTGATCTCTAATGATGCTCCATGGCTTAGGGCGATTTTAGAAACAGGGCTCTTTCTTGTACAGCATTCTTTCCGTACATATGAATCAGTTTAGGCTGTAAGAAGGCATGAGTCCTTCCAAGCTGAACGCTGTCTGGAAGCACTCTCTAAAGCCCCTCCCACTTTAGTTGTCTTTGTTCTCTTTGTCTGTCATGAAATATATAATATATTTTGTGAAGACAAAATCGAGTCTGTCGTGCATTGTATCCGCAGTGTCTAGCACAGTCCCCGGTGTGGATTCATTAGACATTTCTGAATGAATATATGTATGAATGGATAAATGGGTAGTTTGATGCATGGATGAATGAATAAATATTTTCTGCCAAACCAAATGTTTTCTATTAACTGCTTTAACCTCATAATAAATACGTCGAATGCAGGAAGTGCAAAATCAACCCAATGATCTTTAAATATCTAGTTGCTCTACCTCATGCTAGGTATACATATGATTAAACAGTTAATTTTATTTTCCCTCCATGGATTTCATAATAAACTGGTCATTTTGGCACTATATGGAAACAAATTACAACTTATAGAAATTATAACACTGAGAACAATAACAGAGAGAAAATGACAAAAATAACTTTCAGATATTCAGGTCAGGAGGATTTGGGGAACACTTTGTTTGGATAGTCTCAGATTTGCTTAAAATTGAAATTGCTGGTTCAGGGAAGATGGATACAGGAGGAAAAAAAGAAAGAAAAATTGCCAGCTGATTTAATAAACTACAACAAAATTAAATAAGGTTTATGTTTCATGTTATCTAATAGCATGAGTGGATTTCCCCAGGGAGCCATCAATGGCAAGACTTAGGCTTGCATATAAATATATCCTACAAATGGTATAAATATGACTCTTGGCCTAGGTGACAGCATGAGAAAATCAAGTGTTTATACTCAGAACTTTTTAAAATTTCCAGCGCCATCAGGTGCTGCCTATACTTCCCTAATCTTGTTCATTTCCCTCTTCAAAATAAGCCTATTCATCTATATTTCACAGGATTGTGTGTAAAAGAGACAAAAAGTGCCAGATATTTCAGAGCATAGAGCAAACACAAAGTACATGTTAATTCTCAGCCACTGTTTCACTAATTGGCATTATTACTATTTTATAACACTAAGGGAGCATGGTTCTTTCAAATATAAAAGGAAGCTAACTACACGCTTCAGGAGGACTTAGAGGCAGAGGAATGAGAAGAGCCCATGTGGAGTGTTAGGTGTGGAAACTTAGAAAGGAGAGAGTTGAGAAAAGTGGGGCTGATTACAATGTCGAAATTTTAGAGTTTAATCTTATAAACCTCCTTAAAATATTCACTTGTGTCTCACTCCCTTAAATCATAATTTGTGTCAATTTTTATTAGAATTTTTTCATTCACTCTCTCTACTTAACCTCCTCTCTCCATTTTATTTCCTGTAGTATCCCTAATTTTACACATCTCATGTACTTTATGAAAACAGTATCCTTTGACTCCACCACTGACCATAACACCCTTCATGTTCTTTTTTTTCTCTTTATCCAGCAAATATTGAAAGTTTATCTCTAGTATCACTCTCCTACTTAAACCATGAATTCCCTTACTCCTCTCTCCCCTCTCTCCTCTCTTCCTTCACCTTCCATTTTTTTTTTTTTCTTTTGAGACAGGGTCTCACTTTGTCACCCAGGCTGAAGTGCAGTGGCACTATCTCAGCTTACTGCAGCCTTGACCTCCTGGGCTCAAGCAATCTTCCCACCTTAGCCTCCCAAGCATCTGGGACTACAGGTATGAGCCATCATGCCTGGCTAATTTTTGTATTTTTGTAGAGAAGAGGTTTCACCATGTTGCCTAGGCTGGTCTTGAACTCCTGAGCTCAAGCGATCCACCTACCTCGGCATCCCAAAGTGCTGGGATTATAGCGGTGAGCCACCATGCTCTGCTCACCTTCCTCTTTAGTAAAGGCCTAACTCTGGTTAGCTCAACTCTTTACTTACTCTGCACCTGTATACAAGCAGCTGAACAGAGCAGAAGGAAGACTCACAACTGGGGTCTCTATTCAACTTTGAAAATACAAGTGGCTACTCAGTACTGCCCTGCAATCTTGCTTCATTCTCGTAGTAAATTAGCTTTCTTCTTCTCTTAGAAAACTAATTCACACCTTCTTTCTTATACTCAAATTTTCATTATCTCGCTTGCCACCGCCACCCCACCCCCCACCCCCGCCGTTCTCACTTCCTCCTGATGACCTTGCCTTCTATTTCTCTCAGAAAACTAGAAGCAATTAGGGAAAAAAACCTCCAATTTCCAGCACCAAATCTGCTAAAGTCCCTGCCTCTGTGCCCATATTCTGTGCCTTCTTTCCTGTTACAATGTGTGTTCGTAACCTTTCTGTGTGCCTTGATACCCTTTAGCAATCTGGTGAAGCCTGTGGACTCTTTTCAGAATAATGTTCTCAATGCATAAAATGAAATGCCTATGGATACAAAGGAGACTGATTTTATTTAAATTCCGTTATCTAAATATTTTTAAGCTGTGATTTAGTAATATATGTACTTCTTTATTAATGTATAATATAAACTGACTTAGCAGGCAGCCTAATAGCTATCTGTTTTAATGTAGTGAGCATAGTAAATGATATTTTAAGATATTTCCAACAGTTGTTATGTGATTTGAAAATATTTGTATTAGTACCTAATTCTGATTTGTTGACAACATTTAATATTGAAGGAAATGTTAAATTTCAGTCAGAGATTAGTAAAAATAAAAATGTCGTAGTTTGCTCATTCAAGTTCACAAACTGTACGTATCCTGTTTATGGGTTTCTGGGAAGTCAGTGGATCTCAAGTTTAACATGCCAGATAAGGCCAACCCCTCTATTTGTGCATTAAATACCATTTCTGTAAAGTATTCATAGACAACTGTGTAAGGGTTACATTCCTGAAATAATTCTGAGCTCCTTACCTGTCTACTTAATTATTACCATTGGCATATAACTGTTTTCTAATATCTTCCATCTCAAAGCAAACAAACAAACAAACAAAAAACAAAAATAATTCCTGTTATCTTGTGCCCCTCACTTCTTTGTTTCCGTTTATGGTAAAACTACTCAAAGGAGCTTGTTAGAATCATTGGTTCTGGCTCCACTTTCTCATCTCTATTTCTCTTATTGAAGCTAAAATAAACTTTTCTAAAATATTAATAATACATTAAAAAATTTTGATTAATCATGCAGAAGGAAAGACTACATTTATTTTTTACTCTCTCAATCAGAAATGCTATTACCAAATTTTTGTTACATAAACAGAAAGTGGCTTACCAAATTGGTAACTAAAAAATCCAAAATGGACAGAGGAAAAATATTATACCAAAGTCAGGCAGTTAATTAATTAGTATATTTTGAATTTTTAAAAGGTCTTTGTTGTATTTTGAATTTTTTTGGAATTTGCTGAGATTTATTGTATTATACTAAATAAGTAATATGATTTGTACCTAACTTTTGTGTTAGTCCATTTTCTTACTGCTGTGAAGAAACACCCAACACTGGGTAATCTATAAAGGAAAAGAGGTTTAATGGACTCACAGTTCCACATGGCTGTGGAGGCCCCACGATCATGGCAGCAGGCAAGAGAAGCATGTTCAAGGAAACTGCCCTTTATAAAGCCATCAGATCTCATGAGACTTATACACTATCACGAGAACAGCCCAGTAAAAACCTGCCCCCATGATTCAGTTACCTCCCACCAGGTCCCTTCCACAAGTGGGAATTATGGGA
Organism: Homo sapiens; assembly: GCF_000001405.40. Lineage (NCBI taxonomy): Eukaryota > Metazoa > Chordata > Mammalia > Primates > Hominidae > Homo > Homo sapiens. The sequence goes on along the minus strand of NC_000003.12, from coordinate 154,474,514 downwards.
GCTACAATTCAAGATGAGATTTGGGTGGGAACACAGCTAAACCATATCAACTTTGTATTCTTAAATGTTATTATGAAATTGTAAAAGTTTTAGGTCCCCAAAAACCTAGATCCATATCTAAGCAAAAGCAATATTTAAAGAGGTAATGGCTGAGAATATTTCAAAACTAATGGTGGACATCAATACACACATTCAAAAAGGCCAACAAACCCTGAGCAGTATTAACAACAAAGACAAAACAAAACACATAGCTATATTGCAGTGAAACTATTTTTTAAAAAAGTGAAAAAAGATACCTTAAGAGAATCTAAAGAGAAAGGACATGTTACTCTAAAGCCAGAGTTTCTCAACCTCAACATGATTGACATTTGAGACTGGATAATTACTTGTTGTAGAGGGATTGTGAGATGTTTAGCAGAATTCCTGTCTTCTGTGCACCCAATGTCAGTAACATACCCACCCACCAACTTGAAGCAACTGAAAATGTCTCCAGACAATCAAATATTCATTGGGGGAAAAAAATCACACCTGGTTGAAACCCAGTATTCTAAAAAGAGCAATAGTAGACTGACAACTGACTTTTCAACAAAAACAATAAAATCTGGGTGACAGTGGAATACTTAACAGGAATCTAACCAACCCTTTAACTTCCAGGTTAACACAAAATATAGGAGTTAGAGAAACAAGTCAAATAATATCACAGACAAATCTATAAGTAGCCTTATCTCTTAAAAAAACTCAACATCATAATAGAAAAGCTAGGTTGGGAGAGGTTGTTCTAGATTTTAAAGACAAAATAATAAAAAGACATAATAACCAAATAAAGTATGGATATTGATTGAATTCTGATTTGAAAAGAAAGCTATGAAAGAGTTTTGGGGACACTGGCAGAAATTTGAATATGGACTAGATATAGATAATATCAGAAAAATGAGTCACATTTTTTAGATGTGATAATAATATTATGCTTAAGTAAGAAAATGTCCTTATTCTTGGGATGTGAATAGAATAATTAAGGATGAAGTAGCATGATGTTGACAATCATTATTTTGAAATGGGTTGAAATAAAATATTAATAATATATATTTAACCACAAATATGGGTGCATATATATGTGAAAATGCTAACATTCTGTGTGATGAAATTTTTCATTAAAAACTTTTTAAAACTTCTGAAAAGATTTTCATACTGGATAACACATACATACATACACATGCACACACACAGCTGAAGGTTGTTTATAAGACAGAGATGTAAAATATAAAGATATGTAACAATTAAAATTAACAAAATGAAAAATTATATGCCAGCAAACACTAATCAAGAAAAAGCAAGTGTATTTAAGTATTAGACCATGTATACTTTAAGGCAAAAAAAATTACTATAGATGAAGATAGTTTATAATAAAATGTTCAATTCATCAAGAAGATGTAACATTTTAAAATTTCCAGCACTACTGGCAGAACTGCAAATACATTTAAGAATCCACAATTAACATAAAAATTTAACACATCTGCCTCAGTATTTGATGATACAAGAAGAGACAGGATCAGAAAAGATATGAAAGATTTGAAAAACATGAATAATAAATATGGACAAACAAATATATATAGGACACAAAAACTAACAACTGCAGAAAACATTATTTTCAGGCATATTGCTTATCAACATTGGACTTATGCTGAATCATAAGGCAAATTTCAAAAAATTAAAATCTGGCTTCAGTGAAGTTAAGCTAGAAATCAATAACAAAAAGATTACTAGAAAAGACCTATATATTTGGAAATTAAAAAATACTAAATTACCCATGCATCAAATAATGAATTACAATAACAATTAGAAAACACTTTTATCTGAATTATAACAAAATTATATAATGAACTAAATATTAATATTTATGTGATGCAGATAAAGAAGTGTTAAAGAAAATTTATAGCGTTAAATGCATAGATTAGAAAAGAAGGGTTGAAAATTAATGAACTAAGCATCTATCTCACGATTGAGAGAATAAAAGCAAAAATAAACTCAAGGAAAAAAGAAGAAAGATAAGAGTAAAAATTTAAAAATTTTAAAAATACATATTAGAGGGAATTGACAAAGTCACAGCTTGATTACTTAAAAAGACTAATAAGTTGGTAAATCTGTTGAATAAAATAATCAAAAATATCCAAAAGAGACAACACATAAAACCAAGGAAATATTACTACAGATTCTTTAGACACTAAAAATGTATGAGCATGTTATGAACGACTTTATGCTGATAAAATATTGAAAATTTAAGTAATATGAACAAATTATAATAAAGAATATCTAGCAATATGAATAAAGTAGAATTTTTAAATATAAATAGTCCTGTGATTATTAAAGAAATTAAATCCATAATTTAAAACCTGTCTTAAATAAAACTCTAGGCCAAGATAGCTTCCCTGGTGAATTTTTCTAAACCTGTAAGAAATAGTAATAGTTATCCCCAATCTTACAAAAACTCTTAGAATATGGAAAAAGGGTAAGCACCATTCCGTTTGTTTTATAAAGCAATTATAATCTTGATACTACAACCTAACAAGAAAACCACAAGGAAAGAAAATCAAGTCCAACCTCATCCATGAACATAGACACAAAAATTCTAACCAAGATGTTAACAAATCAAATTCAACAAACAGAAAATTAATAAAACATAATGAATAAATAGATTTATACCAAGAAAGCAAGGTTGTTTTAACACTTGAATATCAATTTGTATAATTCATCACACATTAACAAAATAAAGTCATGTGATCTTAGCAAATACAGAGAAAAATAGTTCTGTAGAATTTGATATCCATTTATAATCATTGAAAAGTACTCAGCAAGCTAGAAGTTTCTTGAATAAGATTTTTTAAATACCAAAAATAATCTGCAAAATATTAAATAAGTTTGGTTAGGTTAATGAGTATGAGATCTGCCTTCCAAAAACTTTTTTTTTTTTCAGAAAAGCAGTAGCAACAATTTATAAAACAATACCACTCACAATAGCATCAACAAATGTCACATAGGCCTCTTTGCTTCCATTTTCTGAGTGAGTGAAAGCCTAAGGAGCCCCAGGAGAAATGAGTAGGCAGCAATAAAGGTGGAGTAGAGAATGGCATGTGAGTTACAGAGGTGAGAGGGAGGTTGCAAGTATTAATGAGAAGGGGTCACATACTGAAAATGCAAATATGAGGTCCTGCAAAGATGGAAGCAGCTGCGGCAGTGTTTCCACTGACATTTTAGGTTATATTTCAGACACTTGAAATAAGAATAAATGCAAGTTTAGGGAAGCAATGTGCAAGGACAGAATTATACACAGCTGTGTGGTTTACAAAATCTCACATATAAAAATATTGCACTGAGAAGCACTTTGTAAAAGTGGGGTTTACTTAGCTATAATACAGATACAATACAATTTATTATTCTTTTGTATATGAGTTTTACAAACATATTCAATCACGTAGCCATCACCACAAGATATAGCATCTTGTTATCACTTGTAAAAGCTTCACTATGCTCATTTGTAGAAAATTCTCCCACTCCCCACAAACTCCTAGCCTTTGGCAAAGATTGATATGTTGTGTGTTCTTATAGTTTAGTCTTTCACAAAATGTCATGTGCCTCTTTGCTTCCAGAAATATATTTTAAAAGAATGTAGGTATTTCTACAATACTTCAAAGAGGGTTCATTACAGCATCATTTTAATGAAAGAATTTCTGATGGCTTCATATTCTAAGCACAATTCTAAGTAAAATTCCCATGCATATTATAGTCATGTTTACTAAATTAGACAAAACATAGCCCTGATAAAAATGTGTTAAAATAATTTAAGACACTTATATAGTCTTTCCTATGTGCCAGATAGCCTTTTAAACACTTTAGAATTTCATTTCTATTATAGTTTCACATGTAATAACTCATTCAATCCAACAAAACTATAAGAAAATTACTATAATCCTCATTTTATGGATGAGAAAATTGACACTCAGACAAAATAATTTGCCCAAGGTCATATGGCTAGTAAGTGGCAAAACCAGAATTCAAACCCAGGCAAGTTGGTTCTATATCCATGCACTTAAAGAAAACAGAATATAATGTTCAACTGTAAAAAATTAGATCATAGCAACCTAGAAATAGAGGCTGACCTAGTCATGTACCTGTGTATGTACGCTAATGAATTAGATTCATCAAGTCATGGCACACTGCATATGGAAAGGAACTTAAAGCTCATCATGCCAAATCCTCTCACATTGTCACTGAGGAAATGCAGGCCCAGAGAAAAACAAAAATTTGTCCCGTATCACTAGTCTAATTTATTGTGAATTTGGCAGTAAAATACAGGCATTCTTTTCTACGCCATTTCAAACTATCCTTAATCACCTTGAAGCAGATGCTCCATGCCAGTTGTATGTCATATACAGTGGTCCTTTCTGAACACCCACAAGTGCCTTCATTCTCACAGACCCCATCTGAATAAAGATACATGAGGTGCCTTACACATAGGTAATTATGTTTTATTCCATGTGACCTTGCTAGTGCAGCATCTTTACATGACCAAGAGGACCTATGTGAGATATCTGTTATGAGAGCTGTACCTTACAGAGATACTCTCTACTGAAGAGTGATTAGAATATCTAATCCAACACTTAAACTCCCCAGGGGAATGCAAATAAGAGACACAGACATAGTCAGCAGGCACAAAGTGGCACAAAGGCAGGAGTCACAGAGAGCAAAAGTAAAAAGCAGAAGTCACAAGGCACTAAATTTCATAAGGAGCCAAAGACTTGAAATTAAAAATGAGAACTGGTGTCGGAGGATCCAAAAGGAATATGGAGGCACAGCTGAAAAAACTAAGTCAATAGGTCTAGAGTGGCCCAAGGTCAATGAAGTGGCTTTTATACTATGAGGCCAGGGTGCTCAAAGTGTGGACCCCGGTTGATCTAGCAACATGAGAATCACCTAGGAACCAATTAGAAATGCACATTTTCGGAGCCCATTGAGACTTACTGACTTTAAGACAGGAGGAGGCTAGGCTAACTGTGTTTTTAATAAGCACCTGGGTGATTCTGATACATCATTACAGTTTGAGAATTACTGTACTAGGTCAGTGACAGCATCCTACTGACCTACTGTACTAGGTCAGTAACAGTGGTCTCTATGACATCCCCTTCCCATGAGCAACTCCTGGATGCCCACACAGATTGCTTTTCTTCTTCCTTACTTCCCCCTCAGTCCATTAAGATAATTCCTGGAGTAACCCAACAGTTTTTGTTCCTTGCAGTAATCTAATTAACAACCAGCTTCAAGCTCTGGAGAACTATAAATAATCAATTTTAATGAATTGTTTGAAGTTCAATTATTCAAATTATGCTACTCTTTTGCACATTAATTTCTTCTTTCATTCATTAATTCAATAAATATTTATTACGTACTTACCTACCATGTGCCAACAGTACCTAGCAGTGAACATATAAAAATCCTTGTCCAAAATGAAGAAATTAAGAAGTAAATTATGAAGTACGTCAGATGGTCATAAATGCTATGGAAAAAACAATAAAGAAACAAGGAAGGAGGTAGAGAGTGCAGAGCAAGGTTTTGTGATTTTAAACAGGGTGGTCAGGAAGATGTCTCTGCTAAGGTGACATTTGAGCTAAAACCTGAAGATAAATGGGAGCAAGGCTTGTGTTTTCCTGGGGTTAGGGCCTCTTGGAGGATTATAGGAACAGCAAGGAGGCCAATGTGGCTGGGATGAAGGAATGATGGGAAGAGCACTAGCCATAAAACCACAGAGACCAGTGGGAGGCTAGATGTGTGAGACTTCACAAGTGGCTATAACCACGGGTTTTGATTCATTCCTGTTATAAGGCATGGATATTTTAGCTCTCTAATCACATAAACGTTGGGAGTCTTCGCTTAATAGGAATAAACTACCCAGTCTTTTAACCTACGAAGTACAGTCATGCCATTTGGGAGTGCCAGACTGACCTTCTAGCTTTACGATCATAACTCCAGGCTGACTCTGGAGAGAGAAATGCCAAAAACAGCAGTCTAAATTATCTTAACCACTTTGACAGGGAGAATCAAAAAATAAATCTGTCTTCTGGTTCTCTGGAGATAGATGAATTCTGTGCAGCATTTTGAGTAAAGAGACTTTATCTGACATGAAAATGACTCCACAGAGAGAACCATTCTCTTTTGGATAAGATTTGCCATCAGGAATGAGTTGCTTTCTGAAGACCTTTTGTTACTGAACACATAGAAAGTTATATGAAAGTGTTCAGCTTGACATAGCTGCAAGACCTAAATTCATATGAATAGACATGCGTGAAAACAAGAGTGATTGTGGAGAGCACATGTCTTCATTGCAATGTCCCAGAGAATGGGAGTCAGCAATGAATACAATAAACAACAGTCCCTGCAACATGGAGCTCACATTACAGTATCGGGGGACTGGGAAAAAAAAAAAACCACACATAAATGAAAAGTAGGTTAATTTTATATTGTTATGAGTGGTATAAAAAAGGTAGCAGGCAGGGAGTAACTGGCAGAGGCTCTGATTTCTACTTTCGATTAATTCTTCAGGGAAGCCCTCTCTGAGGAGATGACATTTAAGTTAAAACCTAAATGATGAGAAGCAGCCAGGCTTGCAAAAATTTGGGATCAAAAACAATTCAGATGGTTTATGATCCACAACAGTCCTTAAGATTTATGTTGTGTTCCAAGGTTTTCATTTCTGTTTCACATACACTAAGTTTTTAATCCTCATCATAATGTTGTGGAGAACATACAGTTGATATTAGAGAAACTAGGCTTCAGAGAGGTCAAAGGGTTTGCCAAAGACAGGATTTACAGATGGCTCCTTGGCAGCCATTCCTTCTTGACCCAGTTTGTTGTTACTGTGATTCCAAAGAAAATGAGTATCCTCAAGTCTGGAAACATCAATATGATACACAGGATAGAAAACAAGAAAAAAATTATATTTAGGTTTCAGTTATTTATAAAAGATGTAAATAATTCATTTGTAATTATTTAACTATAGATTTTAACTGCTCTCTATTTTTCATTTAGGAGTTGTAGTTTTGGTCATCTAGATTTGAGGGTTTATAGTACTCTTATGCTAATTATTGACTTGCATTTCTCTCTAAATTTGAACAACAATAGATAAATATCATTTTGAGAAAGCCAAAAGAGTAGAACTTAGTTTAAAATTTTTTTGAGCATATATATTCCCCATATCTAGGAATTTTCAGAATAAATCCATGTACAATTTTCAAAACCTAGTGTTACCTAGGACAGAGATATAGTTGATGATCCAATGAGATTAGTACAAGAGTTTTGAAAGATATAATACAAACTATTATTCTCTGTTATTGATATTGGTATTAAGAACTACATAAATATAAGTTTTTTTTCAATTCCCAGAGGCCTATACCACAGGAAAGACTATCTATATTTTTCCTAGGATTTCTTTACTCCCTAGCATTCTGACAATATCAACTATATAAATAACAAGAAGTTTTTTCTAGCTTTTCTGGAAATGTGTGGTTCTCTGTGTCATTTTACAATGATAAATTTCAGGGAACAGATTAAGAAATATCCTTGTCATCTTTTCATGAAATGAGAAATCCTTTTTTGCCTCATGGATCTAAGATGACTACAATAATATGCTTAGCTACTATACACCACAATTATGTGAAAAATATTGCTAAAATGTACTGAAACATAGTATTTTGAAAGTATAGGATAAAATGTTTCCAGTTTAACATTAAAGCTGATTTTATCACACCAATCTATATCAGTATATAATAAGCCAGTATGTAATTTCTAGGCTTTTTGAGAGTAAATCCTAGGCAATGACTTTGGGTCACAGCTCAAGGCAGGAAAGCAGAAGGGTAATGGCAAACATTGGTGGTGATAAAATTGAACAGTAGATGCAAATTGTGCTAATAATTGTAGTATAATAAAAGACAATATTTACTACTGGTTATAATGTGCTAGGTGCCAGGCTAAGCATCTTACTCACACTATCTTATTTAAGTCTAACAACTTTTAATATAGTGACTACCAGAATTATTGTATCTATTTTATATATGAAATACTGATTTGCAAGAGATTAAGTTTACCCAAGATCACGTATTTATTGAGCAGTAGAGCCAGGCTACCATTCAGAGAACTGTGAATATAAAGCTATCTTCTATAGTAATCTTATAATAATTCTGTGATATATACATATATGTGGCACATTTATACACTAGTAAAACATTGTTCAGTTGGTATCCCATAAAATACTACTGTAGGATAAATAATATCCCACATCAAAAAGATTTCATAACTGAATAATCTTAAGAAGGCCTGCATATTAAATCCCTTTCTTTCAGATTCATAATGCATATTATTATATAAAGGCTCAGAGAATATCTACAGTAAAGAAATATGTTTAACCAGCATTTTCCAAGGGGTGTGTGTGTGTTTGTGTGCTATGTAATACTTCATGAAATCCTGTGGGAAACGTAATTGGAGAAAATACAGCACTAAGTATTTTTTAATAATATTCAGATACATTCATTCAGGATAAGAATTCAAATCTATATGAGTGTAATTTAAAGCTTGCCATTAAAAAAGAAAAAGCTTCAGAAAATTTTCGACTGTCTTTTACCCACAGCTATTGTTCCTATGTCACCCACTTCTCACTCATCAGCATGCATGTGAATGTGTAATATTCTACAGGGTGTCTGCAAAATTGGGAAAAATGGGGCAAGCTTATTGTTAAGTAATTTTAGTTTAATTGTCAAATCATGTGCTCAACATATTTTCAGGTGATATACTCTTGCAAAGAAATGAGAAAGACCAGTAGGATTTGCATAACAGCAAGCTGATTATATGGCACTCAAGTATCTAAGGAGGCAGAGCAGAGAGATTCGGCAGATAGGCTGAAAACAAATTTTCCTGGTCCTTATATACAATCCTAAAGTATTTGGATTTTATCCTACAGTATATACCAGAGGTAGGCAAATCTTTTTTGTAAAGAATAAGATAGTAAATATGTTAGAATTTGTGGGCCATAAGGTGTCTGTGACAATATGTAATGCTGCCATCATAGTGCAAAAGTAGTTATAGATGATAGGTAAACAAAGAGATGTGTCCGTGTTCCAATAAAATTTCAAAACATTTGGCTGGCTAGATTTGGCTCATAGGCTATAGTTTGCCCCACTCCTCAGCCCTAGTACAGATCTTTGTCTTTCAAAGTTTCATCTGAGGTCCAGCAGCAGCAAACTTAGAAATTTGGAATATCAGACTCCACTGCAGACCCACTGAATCTGAATCAGCAATTAACAAGGTCATCAGTTTAATTGTATGCATGCATTCAAGTTTGAGAAGCACAACTAAAAAACATGAAAGGGTTTTAAGCATGGGAATAACATAGACAGCTTTGTTCCATATGCAGTGTGAATTTTTCTGAATATTCCCCATCCAATGTTTTCCATATCTGCAAACTGTCTAAAGTATTCAAGCCTCAGCTTGAATCTGACTCACCCATGAAACTATTTGCCACCAACCTGAAATAATTACTTCCCTATTTGACTCCTTGGAACACAAATACATGTTTTATCATGTAATTGTTTCATTGTTTCTCTGACTTCTCATAGGTAGTAATCTGTTCAAGCATAAGAATTATCCATACATTTTCCTGTATTTCCCTCAAAACCTACCAATGCAATATTTGGAGTAAATAGTATATTCCAAAAGGATCTGCCAGTTAAGTAATTGACCATTGTAATTTAGACTGGGGCTACAGAGTTGTTCACTGTGGCATTGGTATTGCCTTAGGAGAGCATAGCTTCATATCCCACATAAGCCAGTTACAAGATGGATGTGGTGAAAAGTGCCTGTAGGCCCAGCTACTCAGGAGGCTGAGGCAGGACAATTGCTTAAGCCTAAGAGTTCAGAGCAACAACATAATGAGATCCCTGCACTTTTTTTTAAAGCCAGCACAGTTGGGCTGGGTAATTCTCTAAAAGTATACTTCTAAGCCATGAGGTTTTTTTGGCTGCAAGAGGACTAGGTCAGAAAAATTGAATGGCTCAGGACAAATTGGTCTAAAGTTTGGAGGAAAAAACAAACATTCAGCAAGAGCATCATCTTTAAATATTTCCTCAACTCTTGCAAGTTTGATCTTCAGAAATATCCATCAAAACTTTGTTTCACCATATGAAGAGGCTTGTACAGTTCCAAACCAAGGCTCAAAAGAGTAGACTCAGGCTGGGTCAACCTGCAACATCTGTGGTATTTGTAACACTCTTGTAACCTCAACCAGGAAAGGTATCCAGCCTCCCAGGGTCAGCTCTACTTTAGTCCTGGTTCAGAGCCTAAATGATCTCTGGATGCCTTATTTACATAACCTTGGGTCACTCTGCAGAAAAATGAACTTGAGCTTTTAGTTCTCCAGGACAATCTCTACTCTGGGAATACCCAAGATTCAGGGTACTTACTGACTCCCTGTCTCTAGACAGGGACCTTAGGATGGGGTAGAACATCCCAAGGTCCCTGTCTGAAGGAACATAAAGCCAAAAAGGGAAAAACTGAAAGACAGATTGTCTAAGGGTGGAATCAGAATTAAGCTGAAAGACTGTCTGTTACAAATGATCTGAATAGTTACAGAAGAGAGAAACCAGAACCATCAAAGAAGAGCAAGCACTTATGATGGGAAGGTGGAAGGCACAGCCAGGAGTGATTCACAGAGATGTGGGAATGTGACGGCAGCTCTTCATGCTGTGCCAGAGACCTTGTTCTTACAAATATCCCACAAATTAAAAAGCAGAATAGAAGTCTGTTCTAAGTTTCATATATTTTTCAACTTAGGACAGAGCCAAGTGCAGTGACACATTCCTGTAATCCCAGCTACTCAAGAGGCTGAGGTAGGAGGATCGCTTGAGCTCAGGAGTTTGAAACCTGCCTGGGCAATATAGTGAGACCCCATCTTTAAACAAAACAAAACAAAATTTAGAAAAACACACATACACCAAAGGAAGTTTTACAATACAGAAAATTGAAAGAATGACAGTCTATTTACTAGATAGCTTATTTTACACAATGGACATCACAATATTGTTTTAAAATGTCTGCGTGAATTGTTTTGGGAAGGTTTAGATTTATTACCTTTGAAAAGGAAACAGCTTGAATATTCCCTTCCTTGGCCATCTAAGCCCTTCCCCAACCTCATCTAGAATGAGGATTGGCACTAAAACATAGTGAAATCCCATTATAATTGAGGCCTGGCAGCCATAGTTCAATTTAATGCCTAAATATTATCAGGTTTTCTTGAAAGAAATGCCATTAAGGAGGCATTAAAAAAGCAATGGGTTAGCATTCCAGAAATCACCTATGAAAATGATACCATGAATTATAGTAATAGAATAAAAGTTAACTTTGAGTGATTATAACAGGGCCCGGGGACTCCATACAGATGATTTCATTGTTTCCTTACAATGACACTTTAGATAAGTGTCAATGCATTCCCCATTTTATAGATGAGAAAACTGAGTTGCCAATCTGACCCTCTGTTTTTAACCACCACACAAGATGGCACCGCACCATGCTGTGTGCTCAGCAGGCTATAGACTCCTATCGTCGGAAGTGATCACTTGCCTAACATAAAAGACCATCCTTATCAGTACAAAGATGTTTGAGACACTCTCATTTTATGTATAATTTTACTAAGATAAAATACTTTAAATGTACAAACTTTTCAAATATCAATGACAGCATTTTTTCTTACAAATTCAGCCTTAGGACTCCCAAGTTTTTCTATTTTTATAGTGCACATAGCCCTAAGTGTGTCCCCAAATGTAACTTGTCCATCAATTATCTTTAGATAGCTTCCTGTAAAAAAGGAAACTAAAAGAGTCCAATAATACTGAATTTAATTAGCATACAATGATTTACACACATTTCAGCATTTTAGTCCACGCAGTTTCTATGTAACTGTTTCAGACTGGAGTATGACAAAACCTCCATGAAAAATAAAGATGAATGTTCTGAAATACAGCAATTAATTGACTTAAACATGGTAAATGATAACTAAAGAACCTCTTCAGAATGAAAACTTTTATGCCTGCTTTAAGAAATCTACAGAAAAAAACAGTTCACTAAAATATATGAGTCATGACCATTTTTAAGAGCATATGTGTCTTTACTATTTATTTAATTTATCCTCCAGAAATGTGGGAACTACAAAATTCTCTATTTTTATTTATACTCATTTATTTATATCTATTTTTATTTACACATCTAGTTGCCAGAATTTTTTTTAAAAATACTTTAAAATGGCTCATTGTCTAATTCCTTTCAAATCAAACTCCCTTTAATTTTATAATCTATCTTTTACAGCCTGTTTTGCTGCTTCCGTAAACTCTAAATGCAAGAGAAACATACACAACTTCAGAATTTTGATGATAAGTATGTTATCAATAAATGTTAACCATTATTACTATCATTAAATGTCTTTAAGAATAAGCTAACCACAAATAATAATAATAGCAAGATGTCCTTTTAGTGGGCGTAAGAAACCATTTTAATAAACGTTTATTGAGGGCAATGTGTCAGATGCTATTCTGAAAAGGAAGGTTACAAAGATAAATGGAGCATGGTCACCTACCTTTCATGGAGCTCATAGTTGAATGGGGAGGAAAAGCCCTCGAAAATGCCTTTTTGTATAATGGAAACAGGTATGAGATTCAATAGGGATATAAAGCAAAGAGCAAATGGTCATCTTAAGGATAAAGTGGGCCGGGCACGGTGGCTCACGCCTGTAATCCCAGCACTTTGGGAGGCCGAGGTGGGCGGATCACCTGAGGTCTGGAGTTTGAGACCAACCTGACCAACATGGAGAAACCCCGTCTCTACTAAAAATATACAGAATTAGCCGGGCGTGGTGGTGCATGCCTGTAATCCCAGCTACTCTGGAGGCTGAGTCAGGAGAATGGCTTGAACCAGGGAGGTGGAGGTTGCTGTGAGCCGAGATCGCGCCATTGCACTCCAGCCTGGGCAACGAGAGCGAAACTCCATCTCAGAAAAAAAAAAAAAAAAAAAAGGATAAAGCGATGTTTGAGTTAAGTCTTAAAAAATAAACAGGTGTTCATAAGATGAGAAGGAGAATTACAAACTGAAAGAAAAGTGTGGATAAGGATAAAGAAGGGGCAAAAGAACATGACACATTTAGGGAACAACTGGTCAATCAGGATGGCTAGAGAATAACAGTAGTCTACAAAGAAGGTATAGATTTCTAGATGTAAAAAAAAGTTATGGTTTAGCTTTGAATTTGAATATGAAGACTTAGAAGTGGGACATCTAAGTATGGAAGCCTAGGAGGCAGTTGCATACAGGTTTCTAGCTGAAGGGAAATATTTGATTAGGAGATATAGATATCTCAATCATCAGCAATCAGTTGTCAATTGACGTTCTGAAAATAGGTTAAGTCATCTGGAGAAAGTATATAGGATAATTGAAAAAGAGGCCTATGTTAGAAACCTTGGAAACTAATATTTAAGGGGCAGGAAAAGAGCACAAGACAGGGAAAGAACAGTCAAAGTAGCAGTAAAAGAATGAGGAAAGTGCACTATTTTAGAAGCTAAGACAGTTAAAAACAGGTACACTAGTACATACCAATAGTCCCACCTGCTCAGAAGGCTGAGGCAAGAGGATCACTTGAGCCCAGGAGTTTGAAGCCAGGCTGGGCAACATAGCAAGACCCCATCTCTAAAATAAAAATAATAACAACAATAATCATCATTAAATTTTTTAAGAAAGAAGCTAAAGCAATAAAGATGCTCAAGAAGAAGAGAGTGGTCATTAGTACCAAATTATAAAGAGATATCAACTCAGTGACCACGTAGAATATGGATGGTCAAAAGATACTCATTTTAGCAGGCAAGAGGGCCAATTATCAATTAATACCAAAATTCTTATGTTCATCAACTCATGGTCAGTATAGTTTCCAAATATATACAATATACTTGCCAAATATTACACAGCTAAAGGGTGGTTGAGCAAGCATTTTATTCTGCAGCTTTCAGACCCCAAAGCCCGTTCTTGAACATTGAGTTTGTTTAGTGGATTGAAGACATTTCTATTTTCTAACTCTTAGAACCTGTGGATATAACCTTATTTAAAGAAAAGGTCTTTGCAGATGTGATTAAGAAACTCAAGATGAGATTCTGCTGGATTATTCAGGTGAGCCTTAAATCCAATGGCCACTGTCCTTATAGGCAACACACAGGTGACAGACACAGGGAGAAAGGGAGAAGGTCGTATGAAGGGAGAGATAGAGATTGGAGTGATACAGCCACAAGTCATTCTTTGGAACCATCAGAAGCTATAAGAGGCGAGGAAGAATTCTCCCCTGGAGACTTCGGAGAGAATACAGCCAGTTCTACACCTTCTTTCATACTTCAAGCATCCAGAACTGTGAGAATACATTTCTGTTATTTTAAACCACCAAGTTTGTGGTAATTTGTTATGGTGGTCCTAGGAAATGAATACGGAGGATAAAGCTCCCCCAGTCAACAACCGGCACTCGTATTTTAGATAAAGAAACAATTCTAAGAAAAAGGAATTAGACTAATCAGATAAAAAACTGTTAAATAAAAACTTCTTGATTATCACTAAAGGACTATTACTATGCATATATTTTAGAGAATCAAAGGCACTTGTTTCATTTGAACTTAATGTCTATCACTGATGCAGCAAAATCTCATAATAAACCATCAAAACATGGCTTTCAATTAAAACTTTTGATTACAACTTATAACAAATGCTTTTGAAAAAGCAGAATGTTTTCTTCTAATATTTCAGTACCTTACAAAAGTAATCGACTGTGTCTTTTTTCAGCAGATCTAATCAAGATTTTTCCAGAAAAAAAAAATCATTGTATTCAACAACATTGAGATATTCTAGCATCAGATAAAACTAACTTTAGTTTGACGACTGGAAAATATGTTGATGATCCGAATTAAGAAGTATTACGTGGTAATCCTCAACTAGTATTTTCCCAGTGAGCCAAATTCAAGATTTGTAGCCTATAAAGGAAAGAAATTTCATTTTTAATTTTTAAACATCAATATTTACAATTTTATCAATAAGTCACCAAAGATAATGCAAATTTTTCTCCAAAGGTATGTTATGGACTTCACAGTACTCGTTTCTCAGATTAATAAAGGATAAATGATTTTTGCCTTGTATATGTGGCTTCATTTCTTTTTCTTATTTGACACTTTGACAGATCCTGCTTTTAGATACTATAACTCATTCAATATAATTGTGCTCTATTTTATAGCTTGCTACATTGTGTTTGAAAAGTACATTAAGTATTGTGACCTGAAAACATTATGGAATAAATGTGAATGTATTAATTTAGTTAACAATGGTTCATGCAAAGTGCAGATAGTATTAAAATTGATGTTTTCTTTGACTGCTAGTGACACACACATTATGGCAAATATAAAAGTAATTACTTACTTTGAAGTATAGTCATGTTACACTAGTATAAAACAACTAAGATAAATATCAGAAATGAGATTTTATTTTAATGCAAAGTGCAGTAAATAAGAACAGGAAATGAGGTTAAGGCATAAGAAATAAGTACATTTTTAGGCTCTTAAGGCAATTTTGAGGTAATATTGTGTTATGGAAATATTATGAACTTTGTACTCAAGCAAACATGATTTTCAGTTTCTGTTCCGCCACTAACAGACTGAGTGATACAGCATGTAGTAATTAACCTCTCTGAGATGTTACTCTGATCTGCATAACAGAAGAATATCTACTACCTCTGGACCGTTGTGAAGATTAAATCCAGTAAGTGAGAAAGACATCTAATAGCAAGTGACAGATAGTAAATGATCTTTCCACAATTGACATTCTAGGATGTGAAGTTTTAAAAGGACATTTGTATGATTTGAGAGTCTTCTTAGACATGAAATCACTTCTTTTCTCAGCCACGCTTCTCAGACTCTGCTACCATTTCTTGAGAAATTTGCCTTGTTAAAGATTCTTTTACGGGAAATAAATCATGATTTTTAAACCTGTCTTACTTGACTCATTATTATGTGACTTCATAATATTTTTCTAGGCAACTAGGCCCAAGCTCACTTCAGAGATATGCTATCCATGATGTATGAAGAGATGTATACTTAGGAAAATATTTGACCCATGTTTTACTTTTACCTGATATAAGACAATGATAAAATTTTCTGTCCCTCTTTGGATATAGACAGGAACATAACAAAACACTGGAGTACGATAAAAGCCACAGTAGAATTAGACAGATTGAGCACCTCTCCTTTAAAACTTGTAACTAAGTTGAAAGATTTTAATTTAAAAGATTTCCTTTTTACATGTTAAGAGTTATTCTTCAGAAATATCTGGGGCCAGGCACAGTGGCTCACACCCATATTCCCAACAGTCTGGGAGGCTGAGGCAGGAGGATCACTTGAGCCCAGGAGTTCAAGACCAGCCTAGGCAACATAGTCAGACCTTGTCTCTACAAAACTTCAAAAAAAGTAACCAGGTATGGTGGCATGCACCTGTAGTCCCAACTAACTTGGGAGGCTGAGGTGGAAGGATCACCTGAGCCCAGGAGATGGAGGCTGCAATGAGCTGTGATCATGCCACTACACTCTAGCCTGGGTGACAGAGTGTCACTCTGTCTCAAAAAAAAAAAAAAAAATCCAATTATATGTTATTAGTCCAAAGGTGATATCTTTCTCCTCTCACAAAAACCTAGAGGAAATCATTGTGATATCATCTTTTCAGACATATTAACGATTGTGAATTACACTATTGAGAAAATTCCAAGCTCCTCTTTAAGAATAAGAAAGGACAAAGTACTGCCTTGGCTGAGGTCCTGGGAGACTCTTCTGGGTGAGGAGTGAGGTGGGGTCAGCCCACCCTGTGCAGCAAGAAGCCTAGGCAGAGGGGAAGGATAACATTCATGGAGGAGGGCAACTCAATGCCAAATAAACTACTCACAGACAGAATCAAGCTCAAAGGGGTCAGGAAGAAAGATGAGAAGTTGTTCCAAGGCACTATGTCTACACATAGAACTAAACATGTTAGGAGGACAGATGAGTCTGAAAAGCCTCCAGTAAGCAGAGCCAGGGACCACCTGTGACATTATCTATGGAGATGAATGGAGCCACTCAACGTAATTCAGTCCAAAGACTACAATCAGTAGAGGTCATCAACACTCAATAGCTCACTTCCCAAATGCTGGTTTAAAATAGAGTCACCAGTAATATATTTCTACCCCAAATATTCTTTGGCCATTTGTGTTGCAGGATTATCTATTATGTGACTTTATCAGTCACATTAAGCTGACCCTGAAACTTACCTTGACTAAAAAATAATTCATTGCCAGTTTGGGTGCAGCAAACATGTAAAATGGGCCTAGAATATTACTTCTTATCACACCAAAGAGAAAGGAGGCAATTAAAGAATACAAATCCAGTCTAGATAATTGTTTTTATAAGAACTTGTTAGTATTTTTATGTGTCATGGTATGATTTTAAAAAGCAATGTTTATCTTTGAAAAATACAGTACATTCTAAAATATTTCCAGATGAAAAGCCGTGGTATCTGGAATTTGCTTTAAAATAATCTAGAAAGAAGTGGTGGAGCACAGACGAAACAAGTCTGACCATGAGTTAAGAACTGTTGAAGTTGGGTAATGGGGGTTCGTTATCCTCTTCTTTCTGTTTTTAAATGTATGTAATTTTTCATAATAAAAACTGTTTTATTAAAAATCCTTGACCTTGACCTTGTTGCCATTTATTTCGATTGATTTTTTATGGTTAGAATCACAATTCAAAACATGTTAGAAGTTATTACAAGGAAAGAATATTTCTATGACCATTGCCTCACAGAATAGACATGAGGTTATAAACAATAAACACAAAAAATTCCTAGCCATTTCCTTACACATCAAAGATGTCCAATAAATAGTGGTTATTATTATCATCTGTTTGACTAATGTAGTCCAAAATGAGTATATCTGAAAATACAAATTGGAATCTTCCTAGAAATGTGGTAAATTGAAGTTATGCCAGAAGCTTCTCTCTCCACCCCTTGCCTCTACCTTAGCTAATAAAATTTATTGACATGTATTGAGAGCTTACTACGTACCAGATACTGTTCTAAAACTTTGCTTACATTAACTCACTTAGTCCTCACAATAGCCCTATGGAGTTACTACAGAGTTAGAAAAACTGAGGTACTGCTAACAAATACAGAGCAGAAATATGAAGAAAGAGCTTGTGTTCCTAAACTTGGGTTAGATTGTCTCTCCTATATGAACATAACTGAAGAAACTAGAATACAGCTAAATGAAAGTAAGAAATTATTTCACATTATGCTGAATTCGGATATTTTCCCAACAACAACAAAAAGTACTGAGGCTACATTAGAATCATGTGAAGTCAGACAGAGTCAATCATAGTAATCCCACTTGCTTTGTCATGATTGGTTTAAGAATGGACTTACAAGGCAATTTTGGCCAATAATACATGACAGAAAACCTAGTGGTAAGATTTTGTAAATAGTGTTCTTTGATATTACAAAGGAAAATTAACTTTTCCACATTTAGACATTGTCTTGTGATATCTGGATGCGTGGCAGCCATCTTGAGACCATGAGGTAAACCTGGCTCTCAGAGAAGTCTACACACTGAAGAAACTAGATGTCCAATAAAACAAGGTAAACCCTAGTTCTTTGAAGGCATGTTGCACCGCTGATTAACCAACCCTTGGCACTGCCATTTAGATCAGTTGGCTTCAACCATTTTCTTCCTCATTTCCTCAGGTTTCAAAATTACAGGAGGAAGCAGCCAATGGGCTTAGCAGGAGGAAGAAGCCAATGGGCTTAGCTTGGGCCACATGCCCACCCCTTAGGTCATGGAGAATGGAACACCTTGAATGATATTATCATCACAATGCTGGTGTGCTTTACCACAGGTAGGAGAGCTGATTTTATCCTATGGAGAAAATAGGAAGCTTCTGCTTTTAGCCCAGTATGTGATTTTTATATAAAGATTCAGTATTTATACAGTAACATTGGCCTTTAATAAATTTCAGTTCATCCTAAATCCAAATTAATTTATATGCAAATATTTAGATAATACATAATGGTGATTAACATTACAATCAGACCTTAAAATTTATTTAGGGTTTCAAATTGAGTTCTTTTAAAAATACATTATTATCTTCTTTTCAATTTCAGTTTGCGAATATGTGTACTCCCCACGATTTATGTAAATGGAGTAAAATGTCACCATCAAAGTTACAGAATAATGTTTTGAATGATATGCCTATTACTGTCATAAATACATCTCATTAATGTAGGATCACAATGTACTCTGCTATACAATTACAAGTACCCGACTATGATGAAAATCAAACCCTAAACATTTTAAATTATGTTTGCATAATAGCTTACAATATTTTGTCTGGAAGAAATATTGACATTTTTAGATAGTTAAGATTTCAAAGCTCTTAATTTCTTTCAAAAAGCAGTCTGGGACCGGGCGCAGTGGCTCACACCTGTAATCCCAGCACTTTGAGAGGCTGAGGTGGGCGGATCACCTGAGGTCAGGAGTTCAAGACCAGCCTGGCCAACATCGTGAAAACCCATCTCTACTAAAATACAAAAATTAGCAGGGCATGACGGCGGGTGCCTGTAATCCCAGCTACTCAGGAGGCTGAGACGGAAGAATCGCTTGAACCCAGGAGACGGTGGTTGTAGGGAGTCGACATCACGCCACTGCACACCAGCCTGGGTGGCTGAGCAAGACTCTGTCTCAAAAAAAAAAAAAATGCAGTCTGAGTGAAAAAATATCACTACAGTGCCATTGTACTTTAGCCTGGGTAACAGAAGCAAGAAAGACCCTGTCTGAAAAAAAGAAAAAAAAATGTTGGAGGAACTTGGAGTAAATGACTTTAAAAATGCAACCCACTCATTCGGCAGATGTTTATTGGACTGTTCCTTGTTCCAAGTACCACAATAAATCCGTGGTATATAATGATAAGCAAGATATATTACCTTACCTCCTTCCACAGTGCAGAAAGGAGGACTCCTGTCTAAATAACCACTGTAACAAATGCTATGTCAGAAGTCTACACTCAATTCTGTGCAAGATGGAGGAGTGCTAAGATTCTCCTGGGGACCAAGAAAGAATGAGCTGGAGTTGGGGACAATATGGAATAAGTAGTAGAAATGCAGTTTGACTATAAAATTCATGGAATTTCACACTTAAAATTAATAATTCAAACCTGTAGAGTCACGGTTATATAATATACATATTTTTAGAAAGATCACTCTGGCAGCAATGTAGAAATGGATTAGTGTGGGGGTAAGACTGGAAACAAGAACACAGGGAGGAAGAAATTTCAAGAGGGGAGAATTAGGACAGAGGCAAGTAACTGAAGAGGAGACTTGTATATGAGGATATTTAGAAGGTAGGATTCAGGACATTGTGTGAGTGATTAAAAAGCAGAGGAATGGAGTAAGAAAGATTAGACCAGTGGTTCTTAAATGGTACCTGGGACAGCAGCATCAGTATCACCTGGGAACATGTTTGAAATATAAACTTCCCAGGCCGCACCCTAGACTGTCTGAATCACAAACTACTGGTTTTCAAATATATATGCACCTTGGAATAACGTGGGAAGCTTAGAAAAAGAGTATACTCATCCTAGAGATTCTGATTTAATTGGGCAGACTCTCTAATTGGGCAGAAAGGGGCTGGGGTGTGGGAGACCTAAAACATCAGAAAATCATTACTGAAACGCTTTGATTGCCCAGCAGAAGAGTAAGGAAACTTCATCATCTCAAAAATGCTGCCAAAAAACTAAAGCACTATCTGAGGCTTGGTAGACTTGGAATCAAGGCCAGCTCTGCCATTAGCTAGCTCCTGAGATTGTGTGAGTCACTTAGCCTCTCTGAGCCTCAGTTTCCTCCTCTCCAAAATAAAGCACTGACTAATCATCTGAAAGGTTCTTTGCAGTTCTTTGATTCTAACAGCAGATTGAAATTTTAAGCTCTTTCAAGGACAAATCAAATACTTTCTTTTTAATTCATTGAGCTATTGCAGGGACTCTATATCTCATTTGTGTGTAATAATACATCTACTCTTAAAATTCACTATGTGTTTTATACTTTTATTTATAATAATAGAGACTGATACCAAGTTTAGGATAATTACCAACAAATACAGCTAATGCACTAGATCAATTTATTTTTAACCTTGAGCCACCCAACTCAATTTTATAATGGCAAAATACTATGAAAATCCTAACGGTCTTTAAAGGGTCATTGTAAAAACTAGCCTGAAAATATTATAATGCCTATTTAGTTCTTGAACAATTTATTAGTAAAATTTTAAAGGTTGCACCCACTATCTGAGTTATGATTATTCTCTAAGCCTACAAAAAAACTCAACTACTAACTCTGAGGTGGATAGATAAGAATAATGAGTCACAAGTCTATGATTTTTATGTTTAGATGCAATTGCACATATCACATTTAGGGATTTGTGTCAAACTTGGGTTTAAATGGTGACAACTTATTTCTCTATTTTGAATTGATTCACAAAATGTCAGAGCCCCTCAAAAATCAATCTCTTTGCAAAAAGACATCAAGTTATTTGAGATTTTTACTACAAAATCTACTATGCTTCAGATATGCTATCTTCTTAAATGAAATCTTAGTTGGCATAAAAGTTCATCATAGTAGGACTCTTGATGGCTTCAGAGAAACACTTTATTAGATTCTAAAGCACTCAAGTCATACCTCCAAAGAACAGGCTAACCTACAGAGTCTCCATAAATTACTCATAGCCCAGCTACTACTGGGGCCATAAAAGGCAACCTCAGGCCGGGCGCATTGGCTCACGCCTGTAATCCCAGCACTTTGGGAGGCCGAGGCGGGAGGATCACGAGGTCAGGAGATCGACACCACAGTGAAACCACGTCTCTTCTAAAAATACAAAAAAATAGCCGGGCGCGGTGGCGGGCGCCTATAGTCCCAGCTACTCGGGAGGCTGAGGCAGGAGAATTGCATGAACCCAGGAAGCGGAGCTTGCAGTGAGCCGAGATCACGCCACTGCACTCCAGCCTGGGAGACAGAGCGAGACTCCATCCATCTCAAAAAAAAAAAAGAAAAAAAAAAAAGACATAGCCTCAGAACCACATAATTAAGACAGAAATTAGTTATTTATTCTGCTACCTTCAAAAGGAATATTTTTCATGTTATTAAGATCTCTAAAGCACTGTAAAATATCATGTTCCTGTCAATATTGACTTTAGATAAACATTCTCAACGTGAAATTAGTTCCCAGCAACTTAAAGTCAGTTCTTTATTTGACATATAGGTAGGGCTTACCATTCCCAATGAAACATTCTTCACATTGAATATTTCTAACAAATGTAGAAGGTTCATGCTATCCATTAATTTATCAATATTTTTGCCTAATTTGTACATAAGTCTTTTGCACAGAAATGAGAAATTTAACTATTAAGTGAATCTAGCTGAACACACATCGTCTTTTTTTTTTTTTTTTGCCTTCCTAATCTCAGTCTTCTTTTATTAACATTTTTTTAGTTCTATTGAGGTATAACTAACAAATAAAATTTTTATAGATTAATAGTATACAATGCGATGTTTTGATATACTACATAGACATTGTGAAAAAAATAACAAGCTAATAACATATTCATTAATGTACATGGTTTCCATTTGTTGCTGTCATTAGAACATTTAAGATCTACTTTCTTAGCAAACTTCAAGCACATAATACTGTTTTTTTTATTTTTAATTTTCTAATTTCAATAGATTTTTGGGGAAGAGGTGGTGTTTAGTTACGTAAATAATTTCTTTAGTGGTGGTTTGTGAGATTTTGGCACACCAATCACCCAAGCAGTGTACCCTGTACCCAATGTGCAGTCTTTTGCCCTTCGCCAGCCCCCACCCTTTCCCCCGAGTCTCCAAAGTTCAATATATCATTCTCATGCCTTTGTGTCTCATAGCTTAGCTCCACATATAAGTGAGAACATACAATGTTTGGTCTTCCATTCCTGAGTTACTTCACTTAGAATAAGTGGAGTCTCCAATTCCAGAGAGGTTGCTGCAAATGCCATTATTTTGTTCCTTTTTATTGCTGATTAGTATTCCATCATATATATATATACATACCACAATTTCTTTATCTACTCATTTGGACTGGTTCCATATTTTTGCAATTGCAAATTGTGCTGCTATAAACATGCGTGTGAACATGCTGCATCTTTAAAAATGTTTTTTTAATCTACTTGCAATTCTCATGAAACTCTAAGAAAAAATTTTTTTATAAAAATGGCCTCTGAAAGAGAGTCAAATGCTCACGATGGTGATTAAAATGCAGAAGAGTCATAAGCTGCCCCAAAACAGATAGTTCTTGACTGGAAAAAATTCTATGGGGGAAATTATATACCATAGGAAGTTATTGCATTGTACGTTCCGAAAATTTTGGAATATAGTTATTGCAAATGTTAAAGGTCTGTTGTCATATAAAAAAGACAAATAATAAAGAATCCTAAGTATTTGTTAAATCAACTACACTGTAGTAAGAATAAACAAGATCACAAGGTGAAATTACATAGTAAACTGTATCACGTTACAGATTTTAAAAAATGGTAGGAGCTATATAGATAAAAATAGTAAGATGCATCATGATTTTTAAATGCTAGAATATAACAAAAGACAGAGACCATTTCTGTAGTCCTGAGAAAACAAAAAGTTCTAGGTACATTTTGCCTCTAGGCATTTATATTTCCACAGGTTTCTAAAAGAGAATTCTGTTTGGAAGAACTAAATGAGAAACAAAATTAGAAGCTTTGGGAGAGATGGAGAGAGAGAGAGAGAGAGCAAAATCAATCTAAACTAGAGAACTAGAAGATTTGTGTATTGCATGTGTTTAATTGTGGATAAGTGGAACTACAAAAAGAATATTTTGTAGTCTTGTGTCATTCTTGCCTTTTAAATAAACTGGTGGCAGTTGTGCATTGGGTATTGGCTATGTCAACAGTAGAGTAAAACTCTTCTGGGGATATGTTTAAGAGACAAGTGTCTTTTGTTGGTTTTATTAATCAAATATTAACTAGCCTACAATTTTATTACTTTAATATGTGTCTCAAAGTCTTGTAGAATAATTTAAATCTAGTAATAACTACAATATCTCATTATTAAAAGCCTATATTTTTATTCCTAAAGATGCATTACCTTCTTTAATGAGATCCAAGAAATGGATTCTAGAATCACAGAGTTTCAGACCTTCAACTGAAATCATGAATCATTTCTAAAACTTCCCAAGCCAATAAGAATCCAGGTGCTCTTTGGACACTTCCAATAATAGGAAATCTCACTACTTCAGGATATCTTCATTTGAATTTCAGTGAGTTCTGGTCTTTTTTTTAATTCATATATTCACTTTAAATCTATCCCTTTCTAATTTCCCTTAGTTCTAATTTTCCCATTTGGAGAATCAAAGAATAAATCTAAGTTCTCTATTCTGTTCCATAAGCCATTATCCTTAGCAAACTAATGCAAGAACAGAAAACCAAACACTGCATGTTCTCACTTATAAGTGGGAGCTGAACAATGAGAACACATGGACATAGCGAGGGGAACGACACTCAGTGGGGCCTGTAGGGGGAGGGCAGTGGGGCAGAACATTTGGGAAAAGAACTAATGCATGCTGGGCTCAATACCTAGGTGATGGCTTGTTAGGTGCAGCAAACCACCGTGGCACACATTTACCTATGTAACAAACATGCACATCCTGCCTGAAACTTTAAAAAAAATAAAATTAATTAATTAAATAAATAAAAAAGAAATAAATCTAATATCATTTCTCTAATAAAAACTCCATAAATGTTCAGAGATAACTATCACAAGTAGAACCCTTGGAAGAGACTCTAGTATGAAGTATCCACTCAATAAATGCAAGGTATTATTATTTTTATCATGAAAACTCTGATTTTTTTATTTCTCTGACCTCTATAACGACTTTATTCAAAATCCCCTTGTTTAGAATGTCTTAAAGACCTCTCTCTCTCTCTCTACCTCAACCTAACACCATGTTCAGGACACTCAAATTATTCGCAGAGAGTTTGAGAACCTGACCTGAACTGACAAGATGCTATGTTTTCATCTTTATTTTTTTGCCTTTTTTTTTTTTACAAAGGCAGCTTAACTCAAAAAACAAATATTTACTGAAATATTTACTGAAAAACTTACAATCTCACATACTTCTTGGCTTTCAGTATATCTTCTTTCATAAATTGCCTGTTCATACTCTTTTCTTATTTTTCCATCAGGACAGTTGTCCTCCTACTATTGATTTGGAGCTATTCCTTTCAATAGATGCTAATAATTTGTTTTTCTTCAGTTCTAGCAACTGCAAAAATATTCTTTCCTTTTCTCATCTCTCCATAAACCTTGGGCATGGCATTTGCTTTTTAGCAAAAATTCTAAATTTTGATGAAAAAAGCTTCATCAATATTATTGCTTTGTAGTTTATGTTTGAAGTTTTAATCAATAAGATCTTCACTGTACCAAATTACAAAGAGCTTTTTTTAGTTTTGCTTTTTATATTTAGGTCTTTAATCCATCTAAAATTACACTTACTTGTGTTACAACGTCAGGAGCCATTTTTATTTTTTTCCATAAAGTAAGTCAGTTTTCCCATTATCATCTACCCTACAGCCTGTACTTCATGGGACCATGTTTGAAATACAGTAAGTTAAGTTGTCATATACATTCAGTCCTGTCTCTGAACTGTCTTCTGTTGTATTGGTAGTTCATATGTTCTTGTACCAATACCACACTACCTTTGCAACAGTAGCTTTATTGCATGTATTGTTGCTTTTTTAAAATACTGACTTAGCTTTTCATGGACCTCTATTTTTTCCAAGCAATTTAAGTTCATTGAACTTCTCAAGAAATTCAAGTCGAATTTTTATGTGGATTATATTTAGTATATAGATATTTTTAGAAATAATTTCTATCATTTTAATACTAAGACACTTTATCCAGAATCATAGAATCTCTCTATCTATTTAGATCATCTTCTATACCTTTTTTATTAAAGCTTTCAAGTTTTCTCTAAGTAGAGCTTGAGTGTTACTGGTTAAATTAGTTCCTCAAATACTTCATAACTTTCAGTGCTTCAAGGAATTAAATTATGAAAATAAGTATTTTATTAGATTTTTAAAGTTGTCTGTTCCTGCTACTGATTTTTTAAAATTGATCTTATACCCAACAATTGAATTCTCTTTGTAGCTGTTATAATTTATCTATAAATTCTTTGGGTACTTTTATGTTTATGATAATTTCATCTGCACATTAGGATAATTTTTTTATTTACATCTATCCTTTTCAAACTCTGCTTGTATTTTTCTTCATAGCACTGGGTAATATTATTAATGATATATTAAACAGTAATGCCAATAGTGGACAACCTTGTCCTATTCCTGTGGGGAGACAATTCTCCATGGGTCTCTCATGTTTCTGCAGGTTTTACAAGAAAAGACACCGACTGCCTTTTTTCTGGGTTCTCTTTTCAGTGCGGTTTGTATACCAAACAGCCTGGGAAGAAAAAGAAACTGTCTCCTTCCAAAGTAAAGGGCAAATCTGCTTACAGCCTTGGAAGACAGGGATAGTGTCTCCAGAGTAAGGGGCAGGTATTCTCATTATAAACTGCCATCAGATGTCACTTAACAATAGGGATATGTTCTAAGAAATGAGTCCTCAGGTAATTTTGTTACTAGATTACACTAATATCATAGAGTGTGTTTACACAAACCTAGATAGTATAGCCTACTGCACACCTAGGCTAGATGGTCCAGCCTGTTGCTCCTAGGCTGCCAACCTGTACAGCATGTGACTTGTACATGTTACTGTACTGAATACTGTAGGCAATTGTTGACACAATATTTGCCTAAATATTTGTGTATCTAAACATATCTAAACATTAAAAACATACAGTAAAAAGGTGCTATAAAAGATAAAATGGTATACTTCTACAGGGCATTTACCATGAATGAAGCTTGCAGGACTAAAAGTTGCTCTGGCCGATTTAGTGAATGAATAATGAGTGAATGTGAAGGCCTAGAACTTTACAGTACACCATTGTAGACTTTATGTACACTGTACACTTAGTCTGTCCTAGATTTATTTTTAAAAATTATTTATTCAATAATAAATTAATCTTGGCTTACTGTAAGTTTATAAACTTAAAATGTTTTTCACTTTTTGACTTTTTGTAATAACACAGCTTAAAATGTAAACACATTGTGCAGTTAAACAAAAATATTTTCTCTATATAGTTATACTATAAACTTTTTATATTTTTAATTTTTAATTTTTTTACTTCTTAAATTTTTTTTTAAACTAAGACCCTACACATTAGCCTAGGCCTATGCAGGATCAGGATCATCAACATCACAGCCTTCCATGTCCACATCTTGACCCACTGGAAGCTCTTTAGGGGCAATAACATGCATGGAATTGTGATCTCTTATGACGACAACGCCTTCTTCTGGATTACCTCCTGAAGGACCTGCCTGAGGCTATTTTCCAGTTAACTTCATTTTGTAAGTACAAGACACAAAATCTAAAATAACAATTAAAAGCATAGTACAGTATATATGTAAACTAGTAACATAGTCATTTATCATTATTATCAAGTATTATGTCCTGCACCTAATTGTATGCACTAGACTTGCATTGGACTGGAAGCACAACAGGTTTGTTTACACTAGCTATTTATTAAAGGGACTTCCAGTCAAAGATGGTGTAAACATAATTTTACCCAACTCTTCTCTAATAATTATATTAATTATTTTATTGTTCTCTACAAAATCAGCCATCCTTCCTTCAAAAAAATAGAATTAAAAATAGAGACAAGAACTCTAGCGTCACCACAAACATGTAAGTAATGCATCGTGCTACCATGTTATAACAGCTACAGTGTCACTAGGCAACAGGAATTGTTCGGCTCATATGGGGCCACCTTTCTATATACAGTCTGTCGTCGACTGAAACTTCATTATGACCAAAATGTGATTATGTGGCGCATGACTGTATTTGCATTCTCTAAACTCAGGGTTCCTCTTCTCTAACATAACCCTTACTGTATGTATGGATGTTACCTGACCCTCTCCACCTATTCCTTTAGGAATTTGGGGTTGGGAAACTGGCAAAAGAAAATGATAATATTCTGACTACTGCTGTTGCAGTCTTTTATTTCTGAACCAGGAATTCTATGTCTTTTGCCAAGAAACTGTAGCAAGCTCATTTATTAGCTTTGCAAGTTAGCTTGCAAAGGTAAAATGTACCAGCATTTCTTTGCAGTATCCCCCAACTGGCAACAACATAGATGTTCATCTGTGATGAATTAATAAATAAACTGTGGAAGGTTCATAAATTTAAATACTATACCTCACAGAGAAAGAACAAACCACTGTATTCCAAAACATGAATAAATTTTACAAACATTATGTTGAACAAATGAAGCCAGACATACAAAAGTACGTTATCATTCCAAGGAAACCTAATCAATAATTACAGATTAAAAATCAGCATAGTGGTTGCAGGAGGAAAGGTAGTAACTAGAAGGAGAACAACGCGGCTTCTTACACTCTGCTAATGTGTTTTTCTTCAAGGTTAGTTCACTCTGTGAAAACTTATTGAACTGCACACTTATCATTTGCACACTTTTCTGTATTCATGCTATACTTCAATTGAATTCATTGAAAAATATTATTTCTTTGGATGAATCAACAGAAAAGAATAGGTAGAACAGAAAAGAAAGTCTCAAATAGACCTAATTCATATGGGAAATTATTATACCTGTATATTAAAGGTGTCATATCAAATCAATTGGGAAAAGATAGAATACGTAAAATTATGTTGGTGCAACTGAATAGCTTCTTGGGAAATAAAAATAAAATAATGTTATTTTCTAAGCTCTTATGCCAAAATAAATTCAGCAGGTAAAACTTAAAAAGTGATAGCAAAGACTACTATCAAAAAAAGACAATAGCAAGTGTTGACAAGGACGCAGAGAAATTTAAACCCTTATGTATTGTTAGTAGGACTATAAAATGGTGCAAACACTATGAACAACAATATGATGATTCCTTTAAAAATTAAAAATAGAACTACTACATGACCCAACAATTTCACTTCTGGGTATATATCCAAAGAATTTAAAGCAGAATCTCAAAGAGATATTGCACATGAATTTTTATAACATCACTATTTACAATGACCAAGAGGTGGAAGCAACCCAAATGTCCATCAACAGACAAACTGATAAACAAAATGTGATGCACACATATGATGGAACATTATTCAGCCTTGTATTTTTTCTTTTTTTTATTTTGGTGACGCTGAGTCTCACTCTGTCGCCAGGCTGGAGTGCAGTGGCGCGATCTCAGCTCACTGCAACCTCAGCCTCCCAGGTTCAAGCAATTCTCCTGCTTCAGCCTCCTAAGTAGCTGGGATTACAGTCACGCACCATCACACCCGGCTACTTTTTGTATTTTCAGTAGAGATGGGGTTTCGCCATGTTGCCCAGGCTGGTCCTGAACTCCTGACCTCAGGTGATCCACCCCCCTCGGCCTCCCAAAGTGCTGGGGTTACAGGCATGAGCCACCATGCCTGGCCCAGTTTTGTATATTTTGATGGTCTGATATTAGATGCATAAATGTTTTTTATTGTTATGTATTCTTGTTGTATTGACACTTTTATTAACTTACAATGTCCTTTTTTGTCTCTTGTAAGCATTTTTTTTGTTTAGTCTCTATTGTCTGGTATTACAATAATCTGCTCTCTTTTTTCCTGCTATTTGCATGAAATATCTTTTTCTATCCTTTCACTTTTACCTACTATGTCTTTGGTTCTAAAGTGAGTCTCTTGTAGACAGCATTTGGGATTGTTTTGTAAAGCAAAATAATAGGAAAAAAAACTAATACGTACTTCAGTTAGAAAATAATTAAATAAATTATAGTATATCCATAAAATAAAATACAAAATAGTAATATAAAAATAATTAAGTGATGATATGATGTGATCTCCAATGAAATTTGATTCATGAAAGAACAAGATATTGAAACATATGTAAGTGTAGATTTCATTTGTATGTACACGTGAAACTGCCAATAGTCATCATTTCTGCAAAAGGAGAAGATAGTTTTCTTTTGTACTTTTGTGACTGTTGTTGTTTGCCATACCTTTAGTTATATTTAGCCCATTTTCAAATCTGACTTAATGGCATTCATCTCAAATCCTTTTTGAAACAAATAAACTTTAAAATATGTAATCTTTGTCTATTAACTTGTCTATATCCCTAACCTTTCTGGGATGACCATATTTCTTTAAATTCCAACGCCTTGACACAAGCACCAAAATACATCTGCTTGGACACCTCAAATCCACGTCCACTATGTATTCTCTTTCTTCCTTCCCTTTTCTCTCTTCTCCCCTCTCCCTCTCTCTCTCTCTCTATCACTTCCTCTTTCCTTTCTCTCCACTCTTTTCATTGTAAAGCATATTAATGAGCATCAAATGGAGAATTTAATTGTGTATACAGTGACCTTTGTTATTCTGATCTGCTTTTCATCTGAGCTTTAAAAGTTCTTCAAGATAGATATTATTATGTTTATGAAGATAGTGGAATTCAGCCATAGCTTAAGTGACTTGATGAAGGATTCAAAGAAATCCACAATGAGACATTTAGGTTATCAGATTCCAACTTCTCCACCATAGTAACTAGAGAATTGATATCACTTTTCACCTTTGCAGGACTCTTATTTTTAAGCCCTCACTACGTTTTTCTTTCATTCAAAATTTTTAAAAATCCTTCATAAATGCTTCACTTCAAATGCACCTAAAGTTTGGGCGTGGTGGCTCATGCCTGTAATCTCAGAACTTTGGAGGCCAAGGCAGACAGATCACTTGAGCCCAGGAGTTCAAAACCAGCCTGGGCAACAGAGTGAGACCTCGTCTCTACACAAAAATCAAAAAACGAGGTGGGAGGATGGTTTGAGTTTGGGAGGTCGACGCTACAATGAGCCATGACCACTGCACTCCTGAATACACCCAAACTAGGGATATTTCTCACTACATATCTTAAAGAACTTCCAACTTTGTGAGTAGACAAAGCATGAGGAAAATGAGGGAGATCAGTTTAATTTCTAATTGTCACTGAACTGCGGTGAACAAATGATTTTGTTTGCGTGCTTTAACATCTCAAGTGTAGAGTTTGGACAAAACCTAACTTTTTCTTAGGAAACTAAAAGCTACTGAGGTAATTTTTGTAAGAACTTGGAGCTCAATGATACTAAATGAAAAGAAAGAACAGGAGGCCATCTGCTGATTTAGGAACTGTAAAATATGTATTGCCTCAAGAAGTTCTCTTCCCTAGCAATCACTCTGATTTACTGAGGCTCACAGTATGTTTGGAAAGGCAAGAAATCTAGAGAATAGGGCAGAAAAATAAAGCACCTACCATCCTGTCCCTATAAGCCAGGGTTCTGTCTCTGAATAATCAAGTTCAATCCTAACCCCTTCGATTACCAGCAGTGTGGCTATAGGTTGGTTATTTAACCTCTGCTTCAGTTCCTCTGTCTGGAAAATGGGGCTAAACCTAATACCCATACCATAAGACTGTGAAATTAAATTAGTTAATACATGTAAATAACTTAGAAGAATGCCTAGCACATTATAAGAATTAAAATATTAGCCATTGATATTGTTGCCATAAATATTATTAATAATTATACATAATTTATGTATAAATATATTTATTACATAATATAGCATATTATTATGTATTTTAGAATAGACAGGGTGTATGGATATGTCTAAATCTCACAAATGACCCAAACATTCTACCAGAGATAATTTTACATTGAAATATTCCTCCATATAAACCAAGAATCAACAAAATGTTTTTTGAAAAGGGCCAGATAGTAAATATTTTTGTCTTTCTTGTTCACATAGCTCCTTTCAGAGCTACTCAGAGTTCAACTCTGTTGTTGTAGCTTGAATGTAGCCATTTAAGAAAAAGTAAATGAATGGGTGTGACTGTGTTCTGATAAAACTTTATGTACAAAAACAGGTCATAGTTTGCCAACCCCTAAAATAAACCAAGAAATGTTTCAAAGTCCTTGTTTTAACCTAGTGAGGAAAGCTTAGACCTCACTCAATAACACAGTTACTTTTCTGATGAAAGACATAAGATAAAACATATTTCCCATTACATTCTCCAGATATCACCTCAAGACAAGATAATGATGCTTAAAGAGAACACAGAGTGCTCAGGTTAAAAAGCAAAGCTGTAGCACTTGGCAAAGAGAGAAATTACTTCCAGGGCAATGTATGTCATTCATTTTGCAAAGGATTGGAAAGAGCAACCATCTTTGAGAACATGGTTGATTAACTTTTGGTACTTAAACTTTGAGCAATTGTAGATGTAGAAAGTGAGATATTTCTGAAAATGCTAAGAAAGGCATTATTTTAAAAGGAGCAATATCCCAATACATCCTGGTATGGGACAGAAATAATGAGGGTGCAGGGGGTGGTACATAATCATCAAGGATTAGCATATCATAAACCATACAAGATGAAGAGAAAGGGATTCTATCAGAACCAAAAACCATTGTCGTAACTACATAACAGTTTTCACCAGCTCTCTGATAAAAAAGAAACTAAAAATTAATAGCAGAACTCCCTTGCATATCATTTATAGTGATAGTAATTAGCTCAAGGTAATATTCTATTCTTGAAATACTGAGATGTTTGAAAGAATTTCTTTGAAATCTTGTAACTCAAGTGGACCTCATAATAAGGAACAAGGGTTCTCCCTGCATTACCTCATTACTAACTTAAGGCTTAGTCAACTTTATTTTTTTGCATCAGAACATTCTCATCCCAAGCATTAATTATTTATTATATTGAGTCCCTTGGGATGAGAGGTTATTTTCAAAAAGAAGAATTTAAGGAAGGTGATAATATGAAAAGTGATTAGACTGTAAGATTCACAAGAACAGTAACTACAGTATTCTGTTTACCACTAATGTACATGGTCTGATTGCTAGACACTCAAATAGTTGTTGAATAAATGAATGAATGAATGTTTATAGTATATTATTATGTTTAGGAGGACAGTATATTATTTATATTTTTATTCTATGGGATAGGTTGAGTCATTCGCAATCCATTTAACAGCTTCACACAGCTCTATATGAAAGCTCTCTTCCAGATATATTTATTATATGGCTAAATAGATGTTACATAACTACTGTGGTTAAGATCCATGTCCAGAATAGGTATTATTAAAACTGAATAAACAACACCAACTAATGAGAAAGCTTTTTCTCTCTAGCTGTTCTACTTTTACATGTAAACACACATATCTTTAACATTTTTGTGTCTTATCCATGGAATTGGTTAAAAATAAAAGTAATTTCCCATTTGAGACACCTTTAAAACAATCCCCACAAGTGTCAAGTACTGTCTTTGAACTGACAGCTTATTAATCAGGTTTCTAAAGATTATATTCACAAAAAAGTCTCTCTGACTTTGAGCCATGTGAAATTGTGTCCTAAACTCATAGTTATTAGATAGTACTAAGATGTTGTAGGTTTTTAATGATACATTGAAAAAGAAGAAAATAAATCACAGCATTTGGGTTCTCCTGTGATGCCAAATTGCTAGTCACTTTCTTGGAAAACTATCAGCTGAAGCAGAGTATGCGTGTATTTTATATAATGTAGATATACATACAATTATATAAGTTATAAATTTATATACTCAAATCTATTTGTATTTATAAAATATGAATTTTATTTATATGTTTTATGCATGAAATTGAATAATTTATGGATCTTTCACTTGAGATTTGTTGATAAGTTTGTAAGCATCTTATGCTAAGCCAGTACTCTAAAATGTTTTGGGTGCATAGCACTCTATTTCTAAAAACAGAAAAAAAAAATACCTTCATGATTAACTTTATCTATGATGCTTTATTTATTTTTATAAAACAAAACTAACTTATTTCATTTGGTCCTGTGGTAACTTTTTTATTGTCAAAGCCCCACATTGCTAAGAATGTTATTTTATAATATTCAACTATAACTTTTTACACTATTTCCTAGTCTTTGAGGATTTTCAGATATCATGCTCCGAGAATTTTTAGATATAGTGTGGACTTTTAGGGAAATAAATTGCCTGTGGTGCTTTGCAAAGATATAATTACATCAGAGCTTCATAAACTACAAGCCTAATGGAATTATTGCCATGCAATTTTCTGTAGGTTGTTTAAATTGTCTGCAATTTATTCCTGTAAAATTTCTGTAATTTAGCACTCTGTAGGTTGTTTAACAGTTTATAATACTGTATTACATATAGTACATGTTTTAAAGTAGCCAAAGAAGCAGTGAGATAAAAATAAGTGTCTTCACCTAAGCTATTCTGGCAGAACCATAACTTTTATTTAAATTAATGCAAATTTGCATTAACAAATTTAAAGACACAATTTACAATCATTGAAGATATAAAGTTCCATTATAGGTGAGACAGATGAACAAAGCTCACTCACAGGAACTGAGTAAAATTTTTTAAGGCACAAAGAAGCTTCTTAGAAATCTTTTTTCATGGTCTCCTGAAAGTTATTCTGGTTATTGAAAATGCACTGGGGTGCAGCCAAGATGGCCGAATAGGAACAGCTCCAGTCTACAGCTCCCAGGGTAAGCGATGAAGAAGACAAATGATTTCTGCATTTCCAACTGAGGTACCGGGTTCATCTCACTGGGGATTGTTGGACAGTGGGTGCAGGACAATGGGTGAAGCGCACCTAGCATGAGCCAAAGGAGGGCGAGGCATCACCTCACCCGGGAAGCACAAGGGGTCAGGGAATTCCCTTTCGTAGCCAAAAAAAGGGGTGACAGACGGCACCTGGAAAATCGTGTCAATCCCACCCTAATACTACGCTTTTCCAATGGTCTTAGCAAACAGCAAACCAGGAGATTGTATCCTGCGCCTGGCTAAGAGGGTCCTACACCCACAGAACCTAGCTCATTGCTAGCACAGCAGTCTGAGATCAAACTGCAAGGCAGCAGCGAGGCTGGGGGAGGGGCGCCCACCATTGCCGAGGATTGAGTACGTAAACAAAGCAGCCCGGAAGCTCGAACTCGGTGGAGCCCACCGCAGCTCAAGGAGGCCTGCCTGCCTCTGTAGACTCCACCTCTGGGTGCAGGGCATAGCCAAACAAAAGGCAGCAGAAACCTCTGCAGACTTAAATGTCCCTGTCTGACAGCTTTGAAGAGAGTAGTGGTTCTCCCAGCACACAGCTTGAGATCTGAGAACAGACAGACTGCCTCCTCAAGTGGGTCCCTGACCCCTGAGTAGCCTAACTGGGAGGCATCCCCTAGTAGGGGCAGACTGACACTTCACACGTCCAGGTACTCCTCTGAGACAAAACTTCCAGAGGAATGATCAGGCAGCAACATTTGCTGTTCAACAATATCCGCTGTTCTGCAGCCTCTGCTGCTGATACCCAGGCAAACAGGGTCTGGAGTGGACCTCCAGCAAACTCCAACAGACCTGCAGCTGAGGGTCCTGACTGTTAGAAGGAAAACTAACAAACAGATAGGACATCCACACCAAAACCCCATCTGTATGTCACCATCATCAAAGACCAAAGGTAGATAAAACCACAAACATGGGGAAAAAACAGAGCAGAAAAACGGAAAATTCTAAAAATCAGAGCACCTCTCCTCCTCCAAAGGGACACAGCTCCTCACCAGCAACGGAACAAAGCTGGACGGAGAATGACTTTGACGAGTTGAGAGAAGAAGTCTTCAGACGATCAAACTACTCCAAGCTAAAGGAGGAAGTTCGAACCCATGGCAAAGAAGTTAAAAACCTTGAAAAAAGATTAGATGAATGGCTAACTAGAATAACCAATGCAGAGAAGTCCTTAAAGGACCTGATGGAGCTGAAAACCATGGCAAGAGAACTACGTGACAAATGCACAAGCCTCAGTAGCCGATTCGATCAACTAGAAGAAGGGGTATCAGTTATGAAAGTTCAAATGAATGAAATGAAGTGAGAAGAGAAGTTTAGAGAAAAAAGAATAAAAAGAAATAAATAAAGCCTCCAAGAAATATGGGACTATGTGAAAAAACCAAATCTACATCTGATTAGTGTACCTGAAAGTGACAGGGAGAATGGAACCAAGTTGGAAAACACTCTGCAGGATATTATCCAGGAGAACTTCCCCAATCTAGCAAGGCAGGCCAACATTCAAATTCAGGAAATACAGAGATACTCCTCAAGAAGAGCAACTCCAAGACACATAATTGTCAGATTCACCAAAGTAGAAATGAAGGAAAAAATGTTAAGGGCAGCCAAAGAGAAAGGTCGGGTTACCCACAAAGGGAAGCCCATCAGACTAACAGCCGATCTCTTGGCAGAAAATCTACAAGCCAGAAGAGAGTGGGGGCCAATAATCAACATTCTTAAAAGAAAAGAATTTTCAACCCAGAATGTCATATCCAACCAAACTAAGCTTCATAAGTGAAGGAGAAATAAAATCCTTTACAGACAAGCAAATGCTGAGAGATTTTGTCACCACCAGGCCTGCCTTACAAGAGCTCCTAAAGGAAGCACTAAACATAGAAAGGAAAAACCAGTACTAGCCACTGCAAAAACATGCCAAATTGTAAAGGCCATCAAGGCTAGGAAGAAACTGCATCAACTAACGAGCAAAATAACCAGCTAACATCATAATGACAGGATCAAATTCACACATAACAATATTAACCTTAAATGTAAATGGACTAAGTGCTCCAATTAAAACACACAGACTGGCAAATTGGATAAAGAGTCAAGACCCATCAGTGTGTTGTATTCAGGAAACCCATCTCACATTCAGAGACACACATAGGCCCAAAATAAAGGGAAAGAGGAAGATCTACCAAGCAAATGGAAAACAAAAAAGGTAGGGGTTGCAATCCTAGTCTCTGATAAAACAGACTTTAAACCAACAAAGATCAAAAGAGACAAAGAAGGCCATTACATAATGGTAAAGGGATCAATTCAACAAGAAGAGCTAACTATCCTAAATATATATGCACCCAATACAGGAGCACCCAGATTCATAAAGTAAGTCCTTAGAGACCTACAAAGAGACTTAGACTCCCACACAATAATAATGGGAGACTTTAACACCACACTGTCAACATTAGACAGACCAACGAGATAGAAAGTAAAAAAAGGATATCTAGGAATTAAACTCAGCTCTGCACCAAGCAGACCTAATAGACATCTACAGAACTCTCCACCCCAAATCAACAGAATATGCATTCTTCTCAGCACCACACCACACCTATTCCAAAATTGATCACATAGTTGGAAGTAAAGCATTCCTCAGCAGATGTAAAAGAACAGAAATTATAACAAACTGTCTCTCAGACCACAGTACAATCAAACTAGAACTCAGGATTAAGAAACTCACTCAAAACCGCTCAACTACATGGAAACTGAACAACCTGCTCCTGAATGACTACTGGGTACATAACGAAATGAAGGCAGAACTAAAGATGTTCTTTGAAACCAACGAGAACAAAGACACAACATACCAGGATCTCTGGGACACATTCAAAGCAGTGTATAGAGGGAAATTTATAGCACCAAATGCCCACAAGAGAAAGCAGGAAAGATCTAAAATTGACACCCTAACATCACAATTAAAAGAACTAGAGAAGCAAGAGCAAACACATTCAAAAGCTAGCAGAAGGCAAGAAATAACTAAGATCAAAGCAGAACTGAAGGACATACAGACACAAAAAAAACCTTCAAAAAAATCAATGAATCCAGGAGCTGGTTTTTTGAAATGATCAACAAAATTGATAGACCGCTAGCAAGACTAATAAAAAAGAAAAGAGAGAAGAATCAAATAGACGCAATAAAAAATGATAAAGGGGATATCACCACCGATCCCACAGAAATACAAACTACCATCAGAGAATACTATAAACACCTGTACGCAAATAAACTAGAAAATCTAGAAGAAATGGATAAATCCCTGGACACATACACACTCCCAAGACTAAACCAGGAGGAAGTTGAATCTCTGAATAGACCAATAACAGGCTCTGAAATTGAGACAATAATTAATACTTACCAACCAAAAAATGTCCAGGACCAGATGGATTCACAGCCAAATTCTACCAGAGGTACAAGGAGGAGCTGGTACTATTCCTTCTGAAACTATTCCAATCAATAGAAAAAGAGGGAATCCTCCCTAACTCATTTTATGAGGCCAGCATCATCCTGATACCAAAGCCTGGCAGAGACACAACAAAAAAAGAGAATTTTAGACCAATAACCCTGATGAACATCGATGCAAAAATCCTCAATAAAATACTGGCAAACCGAATCCAGCAGCACATCAAAAAGCTTATCCACCATGGTCAAGTGGGCTTCATTCCTGGGATGCAAGGCTAGTTCAACATACACAAATCAATAAACATAATCCAGCATATAAGCAGAACCAAAGACAAAACCCACATGATTTTCTCAATAGATGCAGAAAAGGCCTTTGACAAAATTCAACAGCTCTTCATGCTAAAAACTCTCAATAAATTAGGTATTGATGGGACGTACCTCGAAATAATAAGAGCTATCTATGACAAACCCACAGCCAATATCATAATGAATGGGCAAAAACTGGAAGCATTCCCTTTGAAAACTGGCACAAGACAGGTATGCCCTCTCTCACCATTCCTATTCAACATAGTGTTGGAAGTTCTGGCCAGGCAATCAGGCAGGAGAAGGAAATAAAGGGTATTCAATTAGGAAAAGAGGAAGTCAAATTGTCCCTGTTTGCAGATGACATGATTGTATATCTAGAAAACCCCATCATCTCAGCCCAAAATCTCCTTAAGCTGATAAGCAACTTCAGCAAAGTCTCAGGATACAAAATCAATGTGCAAAATCACAAGCATTCTTATACAACAATAACAGATAAACAGAGACCCAAATCATGAGTGAACTCCCATTCACAATTGCTTCAAAGAGAATAAAATACCTAGGAATCCAACTTACAAGGGATGTGAAGGACCTTTTCAAGGAGAACTACAAACCGCTGCTCAATGAAATAAAAGAAGATACAAACAAATGGAAGAACATTCCATGCTCATGGGTAGGAGGAATCAATATCGTGAAAATGGCCATACTGCCCAAGGTAATTTATAGATTCAATACCATCCCCATCAATTTACCAATGACTTTCTTCACAGAATTGGAAAAAACTACTTTAAAGTTCATATTGAACCAAAAAAGAGCCCACATTGCCAAGTCAATCCTAAGCCAAAAGAACAAAGCTGGAGGCATCACGCTACCTGACTTCAAACTATACTACAAGGCTACAGTAACCAAAACAGCATGATACTGGTACCAAAACAGAGATATAGACCAATGGAACAGAACAGAGCCCTTAGAAATAATGCCACATATCTACAACTATCTGATGTTTGACAAAACTGAGAAAAACAAGCAATGGGGAAAGGATTCCCTATTCAATAAATGGTGCTGGGAAAACTGGCTAGCCATATGTACAAAGCTGAAACTGGATCTGTTCCTTACACCTGATACGAAAATTAATTCAAGATGGATTAAAGACTTAAATGTTAGACCTGAAACCATAAAAACCCTAGAAGAAAACCTAGGCAATACCATTCAGGACATAGGCATGGGCAAGGACTTCATGTCTGAAACACCAAAAGCCGTGGCAACAAAAGCCAAAATTGACAAATGGGATCTAATTAAATTAAAGAGCTTCTGCACAGCAAAAGAAACTACCATCAGAGTGAACAGGCATCCTACAGAATGGGAGAAAATTTTTGCAATCTACTCATCTGACAAAGGGCTAATATCCAGAATCTACAATGAACTCAAACAAATTTACAAGAAAAAAACAAAGAACCCCATCAAGTGGGCAAAGGATATGAACAGACACTTCTCAAGAGAAGAAATTCATGCAGCCAAAAGACACATGAAAAAATCCTCATCATCACTGGCCATCAGAGATGGCCACAATGAGATACCGCAATGAGATACCATCTCATACCAGTTAGAATGGCGATCATTAAAAAGTCAGGAATCAACAAGTGCTGGAGAGGATGTGGAGAAATAGGAACACTTTTACACTGTTGGTAGGACTGTAAACTAGTTCAACCTTTGTGGAAGTCAGTGTGGCGATTCCTCAGGAATCTAGAACTAGAAATACCATTTGACCCAGCCATCCTATTACTGGATATATACCCAAAGGATTATAAATCATGCTGCTATAAAGACACATGCACATGTATGTTTATTGTGGCACTATTCACAATAGCAAAGACTTGGAACCAACCTAAATGTCCAACAATGATAGACTGGATTAAGAAAATGTGGCACATATACACCATGGAATACTATGCAGCCATAAAAAATGATGAGTTCATGTCCTTTGTAGGGACATGGATGAAGCTGGAAGCCATCATTCTCAGCAAACTATGGCAAGGACAAAAAACCAAACATCACATGTTCTCACTCATAGGTGGCAATGGAACACTGAGAACACATGGACACAGGAAGGGGAACATCACACACTGGGGCCTGTTGTGGGGTGGGGGGAGGGGAGAGGGATAGCATTAGGAGCTATACCTAATGTTAAATGACAAGTTAATGGGTGCAGCACACCAACATGGCACATGTATACATATGTAACAAACCTGCACATTGTGCACATGTACCCTAAAACGTAAAGTATAATTAAAAAAAAAAAAAGAAAATGCATTGAGAATGATTTTTTTTCCTCAGGAGGGTATTTTAAAGAAAATGAAATTATGGCTAAGGAGTTTACAATTTTCAAGAAATTCATCACTCATATATAATAATGTTCATGAACTCAATTTATAAACAACCTTTTACCAACCTTTATGTTTTATAATACATATAATGCATTATAAATACGTATATACATTTATAATACATATAATGCATTATAAAACATATTTATGTATGTTGTAGATACATATATAATACATTATAAAATATAAAGGCTGGTAAAATATTGCAAATTAAAATTTTATAAAATGAGACATTTCAAACATTCTTTGAAAGAAAGAAAAGCAGAAATAAAACTTTAGATTATCTGTATCCATTGAAAGTGTTCCCAAGGATGGAGAACTAAAAAGGAGTTACTAGCAAATATGTATCTGTTGTGATTAAGAATGCAGAACTAAACTACAGTTTTAAAATCTAACTTAATAAATGTGTGACTTTGGGCAAATCAATTAATCTCTCATGCCTCTGTTTTCTCACCTATGAAAGGGGAGCAATAATATATCTAACAATATTGGGATGAGCTAGGGTATTATCCATTATCAGTCAACTCCACAAATTCAGTGATTTACACAACAAATTTTACCTCTCATTCATACAAAACTTGCTTTAGGTTCATACAGATCTCCAGAGCAAGACTTAATCTCTCAGTTGGCTCAAGATTTCAGGCTGCTTGAGTCTTATACTACCTTCTTATAAACAGGAGCCCCCAGGCTATCACAGAGAAGGAGAAATCATGCAGACCCAAGCATTAGTTATTGCTGGCTTCCACCTCTTATTAGATGACAATGTTGATTATTATAAAGTAGGCAGGAAATAAAATAGAGATAAGGTTAACCTGAACTTTTAAAAATTGTATCATTTAATTTTAGAACTGGAAAGGTCTCTAAAAATAATCCAGTCAAATCCCTCACTATGCTTTGAATGTGTCCCCCAAAGCTCATGTGTTGAAAACTTAATACAAGTGCAAGAGTCTTGGAAAGTGGGGCCTAAAAAGAGATGATTGGATCACGAGGGTTCTGCTCTCATGAGTGAATTAAGGCCATTACCTCAGAAGTGGGCTAGTTACAGAAGGTGGGCTTGTTATAAAAGTGAGACCATGTGCAGAGGCTCACACCTATAATCCCAACACCTTAGGAGGCCGAGGTGGGTGGATCACTTGAGGCCAGGAGTTTGAGACCAGCCTGGACAACATAGTGAGACCTTGCCTCTAAAAAATACAAAAAAAAAAAAACAAAAAAAAAACACCGTAACTGGTCATGGTTGCTCAAACCTGTAGTTCCAACTACTTGGAAGGCTGAGGCAGGAGAATCACTTGAGCCCAGGAGTTGGAGGCTTTAGTGAGCTATGATGGTGCCACTGCCACTCCAACCTGGGTGACAGAGCAAGACCCTGGCTCTTTAAAAAGAAAAAAAAAAGTGAGTTCAGCCCCCTCTTTCTCTCTTTCTTTCTCTCATGCTCTCTTGCCGTTCTACCTTCTACCATGGGATGATGCAGCAAGAAGGTCCTTGCAAGATGCTGGAACCTTGATATTGGATTTCCCAGCCTCCAGAACTATGAGAAATATTTTTTTTCTTTATAAATTTCATAGTCTGTGGTATTCTGTTTTGGCAACACAAAATAGACTAAGATGCCTCTTTATTTTACAGATGCAGAAACAGACAGCCAGAGAAAGTACAAGAATTGTTGTCCTAGGTTACCTATCCTGCAATAGCAGAGTCTAAAGTTAAATTCAGATATCTCTACTAGCTCTCTCCTGGCTGCAGTTCTGCTACCAACCCTTGGAAATGTGCTAAACATTCTTGTTTCTTCTGTAATAGCCCAAAGAACAGTACAACATGGTGATTAAGTATCCCTTTTCCAAATTTATATTTAATGGAAAACCCAGAAATGATGATAATAATAGGGGAAATGTTCTCAGACCTGAAATGGTACTACAGTAGCTATTATTAATTTCTATTCATTGTATATTAACAATCTGAGACTTATTGTCCAACCTAACTGAAAATGCAGGATTCAATACGATATTGAAGAATAATATTTTTGCTATGGCAAGGAAGAATAAGGTTTGTGAGAAGAGACAGAATGGCATGTCATGGAACTTTGAAGTCTTCAAAAATAAGATTTGTTTTTCATCATACTTTCTGAATCAACATTATTTTAAAATGAATATACCCTCAACCTTTCCTACTCACACAGCCCTACACAGTCTATACTATCAGTAGGGAGAGCTAGAGTGCTGAGCTAGCTGTTACATGTGTTTTTTGTTTCCATTTGCTGAGTAAGGGGGAAAATCAAACAATCAACATATCAAGATAAGTGAAATACCTGCTGTGTTTATTGAAGGGTGTGGCTGGTAATGACTAATGCAACCATTTTCTACTTGAACAGATTCGGGTTCAAAATGATACTTCAGTTATTTCTAAAATGAAAAGAATGATCGCAGTTCTATTACTACTTCCAGTTATTAAATCATTATCAATATCAACTATTTCCTTTCCCTTCCCCTGTTTCCATTTAAACCTCCAGCACTATGTGGGAGAATGCAGCCATCTGGTCATGAGGCTAAGCTGAGAAGAATGCTGCCCTAAAGCATCCTGGGAAATGCTGGACCAGAAGTACTTCTGTTAGATACTTCTTTGCTAAATCACGCATCTTGCAAAATTGACCATTAAGA
This sequence comes from Homo sapiens, assembly GCF_000001405.40. Taxonomy (NCBI): domain Eukaryota; kingdom Metazoa; phylum Chordata; class Mammalia; order Primates; family Hominidae; genus Homo; species Homo sapiens. Next base: position 154,430,845 of record NC_000003.12, on the reverse strand, counting down.
GATACAACTATTGTATGTCCCAAATACTCTGGTTAAAAATGTAGGGTGATCTTCCTTTTAGGCCCTATGTAATATCTTCCGACTTTATGGATACTTAGACATATAATTTATTCGAATGACAGCCTGCTTACTTGATACCATTGACAGAAAATAGTTATAAATAAATGTCTAAAGCTAGTGTGACTCTATCCAAAGATTCTGTATAATCCCGTTTAGAGTAATGAGGACTATAACGACAATCTTAAGTACACTATTTTTTTAAAAGAAATCTGATACATCTGACTCTTATGCATGGGATTGATGATATTCTTCCTCCAATGGATTATGAAGCAGAAAGTCTAGGTAAGAATAAAAGCAGTCCCTTAGTTACTGGAGTAGCTTAGACCTCTCACAGGTTATATTTGTAGTTCACATCAAGCCTGAGCAAGTATTTGGACTAATTTTACATGTTGAAACCAAAGGGGAAGCTTAGCAAGTACACCGTTTCTTGCTTTGAAAGAGTCAGTCTAAGATATACGTATATCATTTTGTTCACACACTGAACTCCCCTCCCTTTTTTTCCTGCTTCTCTCCTGCTTGGAGCTGACTCCTCCTTCCTGCAGCTCCGAGGATCACAGGCTGATTGAAGAACACAGCGGTTCAGATGGGATTCTGTGCACAAGCTCCCTCTGACTGGCTCGCGCTCGCCCTCTCTCTCTCTCTCTCTGTCTCTCTCTCTCTCTCCACCTTCAAAGCTGAAACCTACCTGACAATCTCCTGCCTTTGAATCCAGCTCTGGAACCAAATGCATCATTTTACTGCTCTTAAAAGTGAACAGAGTTTGATTATCTCAAGCTACAAGCTGCTTTGCTCCATAAGAAGGACCCCAAAGGATCCAGACATCATTGGTTTTTAATGTACCTGAAGAGTTTTGTTTTGTTTATTTTTTTGGCTTTCTTCCCTGAAACTTGATGGTGGGAAGGAGTTTTTGCTTTGTTTTTAATTGGAATGTTGAAAAGTTATCTGTTCGGGTTTTTTTTTTTTTATGCTTGAAATGGAACCTAATTTTTAAATATAGCTTGAGTCAGATCTAAAGGAGACATGGCTGACCATTTTCTGCAGGACTGACAAGGAGAACATCTAGAGGGGAACTTGGTAGGAGGAATGAAATCTGATTTGCAGCAGCCGGTCTTTCTTTTGAGAAAATTATCAGACTCATTGATAAGGGAAATTAAATATTGACCAAGGACAATGTCTTTATTTCTCAGTAACTTATCAACAAATGACTCTAGCCTGTGGAAAGAGAATCATAATTCTACGGACCTTTTAAATCCGCCAGGAACCCTGAATATCTATCTTTTTTGCTTGACATGTCTCATGACTTTTGCAGCCTTGGTGGGCAGCATTTATTCACTAATTTCCCTGCTGAAAATGCAGAACAGAACTGTTGTGTCCATGCTTGTGGCTTCCTGGTCTGTGGATGATCTCATGAGCGTCCTGTCGGTGACCATCTTCATGTTTTTGCAGTGGCCAAACGAGGTCCCCGGTTACTTCCAATTTCTGTGCACCACCTCTGCCTTAATGTATTTATGCCAGGGCCTCTCTAGCAACTTGAAGGCGACTCTCCTAGTCTCTTACAACTTTTATACGATGCACAGAGGTGTGGGGAGCCAGACAGCCTCCAGAAGATCGGGCCAGGTGCTCGGCGTGGTGCTGACCGTGTGGGCAGCCAGTCTGCTGCTCTCGGCGCTCCCGCTGTGCGGCTGGGGCGCCTTCGTGCGCACGCCCTGGGGCTGCCTGGTGGACTGCTCCAGCTCCTACGTACTATTCCTCTCTATCGTGTACGCTTTGGCCTTCGGACTCCTCGTGGGCCTCTCAGTCCCACTCACTCACCGATTGCTGTGTTCGGAGGAGCCGCCGAGACTCCACTCCAACTACCAGGAAATTTCCCGTGGAGCTTCAATTCCTGGGACCCCTCCTACTGCGGGGAGAGTGGTTTCCCTGTCCCCAGAGGATGCTCCAGGCCCGAGTCTGCGGCGCTCTGGGGGATGCTCTCCGAGCTCCGACACCGTGTTCGGACCGGGTGCGCCCGCTGCCGCTGGGGCTGAAGCCTGCAGGCGTGAGAACCGGGGGACTCTCTATGGCACCAGGAGCTTCACCGTGAGCGTAGCGCAGAAGCGCTTCGCTTTGATCCTAGCGCTTACAAAAGTCGTCCTTTGGCTGCCCATGATGGTAAAAGTGCAGTTGCTCACAAAGCGCGAGTGTGTGTGCCAGACAGTGTAAATGAGTGTTGGGACCGGCGTCGCCGGTTTGGGGAGTCACCAAGAGACACACAGTGAAGTCCGCTTCCAAGTGTATCTCGCTGGGTTTTAGACATGCACTTAGAAGAAGGCAGTTCGGGACAGGGCTAGTTGGCTGCGAAACCTTTACTACTAAATGCTTCTCCTTTCAAAAGTCAGGGGCATGGGGATCGCTTTCCGTCGCGAGCGACTTAGTTTTCCATATCGGTGGTGGCCAAGGATATTGTCTCACACAGCAAAATCAGAGAGTATTCAGAAAAGGAAAGAGGGAATTAAAAGGTTTTTTCCCCACAACCTTCTGTCATCCCTTTCTCGCCGTTCCATTCCCGCCTAGAGAGGACGACGCCCATCTCCAGCAGGGCGGGATAGAGGGGAGGAGAGATCAGTTGTGGAGGGAGAAGACAGGGAACAAAACAGGCTTTTGTTCCTCCTTCCAGGAGGAAGCCGATTAAGAGGTGGCAGAGTGGCGCCCCACTGTGACGAGCGCGCATGGGCGGAGGTGAGGGTCCAGGGAGGCGACAAAGGCCATTCGGAGAATCAGATGCGGGTTTCACGGACGCCTGTTTCCTAGCTAGCGTCCCCCACGTTGTAGACTGTGCCTTTCTGGTGGAGTCTTGAATAGGCAGCGGGCGCAGATCCGGCACTCAAAAGCTGAAACCCCTCCCAACCCTGGGGGTGTGCCCCGCCGTTCCCAGGAGCCCATCACCAAGGACAGGGAGCCAGCTCCGTAGCAGAGGTCCCCGCTGTCCATCAGGAGAAGGAACTGGAAAGGGAACTGAGGCAGCGTGCGTGGAGAAAAGGCTTGAGAAGTACAAAGTATAATTTTAGGTTAGGTCTGAAGTTCTCTTGCCCTTGCAGATGCACATGGTGGTCCAGAACGTCGTGGGGTTTCAGAGCCTTCCCTTGGAGACATTCAGCTTTCTACTTACCCTGCTGGCCACCACTGTAACCCCAGTGTTTGTCTTGTCCAAACGCTGGACCCACTTGCCCTGTGGCTGCATCATCAACTGCAGGCAGAACGCATATGCAGTGGCGTCCGATGGGAAAAAAAGTAAGTCCTCAACACTGCAGTGATTGGCAGCAATATGCATTAGGTGACTTTCAGAAAAGTGGTCTATTAACAAAGTTGCCTCAGTAGGGGATGGAGAGTCCAAGGATAAATGTCAGTGGTAAATAGTGAGAAGAAATTATAACATGAAACAATCACTACAACAGTTTGGGGGTAGATTTTAAATTCAGCTGGTTTTGAAAAACCCCATGAAGTGCCTGTGGTACTGAATAATTATTTTAGGTAGAAAAAAAAAAGGGAAGACTAGGATTCATTCAGCACACCATGTCAACAAAGGCACTTAGATGATACATTCACCATAGTTCTTAGTCCAGAATAGAAAATATATTCCCCTCCCAAGTCTAGAATGAGATGCAGCATTGCTATAAGAAGCTTGCATTTGAAAAAGGATTATTAACCCTCTGAAAGGAGTTGAAAACTCATTACATTATAACATTATTATGCAATGGAACAGTAAAGAAAGGCATTTTTGTTGTTTTACTGCTAGTATTCTTCCAGGGTTTTGGAAAGTTTTCAGAGTAAGGAATCAGAGTGCTTGAAAACAGTTCCAAAACAAATTGTAAGTGTAGGCCTCTCTCTGTCTCACACACACACACACACACACACACACACACACACACACACACGCCCTGGTCCAAACATAAAAACAAACAAAACCCTCAGTTTAAAAAAAAAAGACACAAGTGACAGTTTGTTACTGTGTGTTCATGTATGGATCTAGCCAAGTTATTTACTTAAAGAAGATTCTGTGGTCTGAAGAGTACACCTAGAATGAGAGTGGAAAGCAGGGTCCCTTCCAGAACTCCCTACAGTGTAATTGTTCCCATATGCTAAGACAAGAAAAGTGTTGAGGAATGAGCTGTATATTTTGACTCTGCCAGGAAGAAAAAGGAGATTATTGTATTATTCTAGACAAAATATAGGATGTTCTATCACTTAATTAATCTGAGAATGCATTAGTGTATGCTGCATTAACTGTCCTATTAATTGTCCTTTGCTCAGAGTATGCAAGTATATTATTCTTTAACAGAGATGAAGGTTAAATTTAAACAGTCCATCTCAGGCTATTTTAGGGTTGCAAAATCTAGAGGATATCAAAGTATACTCTGCCATCAATTCAACGACAAAGTTATTTTATATAATTAGCCATGAACTGGCCATTTTTCCTATGTCATAGTGATGGCATTTAATATTTAGAATGTCTAGATATTTTTCAAATTACCAGAAAATTTTTTATTGTTAAGAATGCCATTAAGTTTTATTAGTAGTAGATGGCAGATGCATTTGTCTTTAAAATAACCTTAGAACTTATAATAATGATGTGTCTCTAAAGATTAATATCCAGAACAACAGTGACAGAGAAAATTAATAATAAACCCTTATGGGCCACTTATAAAAACATATAACATAAAGGAAACAATTCACAAACCTCAAAACTCTAACATTCTAATAAATCTTAGCATTTTGCCACTAAACTAGTGAACGAGCCCGGTCTTACAACATCTAAAATTGTGAGAAGGATGGTCTAGTGCCAGTGAAAATGAAAAGTCATAATGAATTGGTTGAAGGCAGTCATTTTTAAGAAGTGGGGACCACCCATCTCAGAGCTGAAAACAAAGCAAACAACAGACTTATTCTTGTAAATGACCTATGAAATATTCTACTTTCTGTACTGCACAGACAGAAGAGTCTTACGGCAGGCTAGCAGAATCAACAGTCACACTCATATCACAGGTTTGAAATTAAAAATATGTCTTTCGAGATCAAAATAATATTTTTTTCTAAAATTACCATTGCTTTTATTTGTGTTTATTTTAAAATTCCAAAGAAAGACTTGAAATATGAAGGCTTATGAAAAAGAAGCATGGCTTCACAAATAAAACATTGTGAGAAACTTTAGCTTAAGATGCTTATAGTTCAAATGACTCCATTCCCTCTTATGATCCAGGCTGTGATATCAGAAAATTCTGATAATAACAATGATGTGTTTCTACTGTCTGAGAAGCCACCATCAATTTTCCTATTGATAGTGTAACACAACAAAATTTTAAAACCCCAAAGGTAGCACATGCTTAGGTGGGCCAGGTGGTTGATCAGCTAGAGTATCTTAATTCTTTGATGGTTCGAGTTTTATGTTTAAACTTTTTGTCCATAACAAACTAAGATTCCCTCTCTTTACATCCTTTATCAGTCAGTGAACTTCAGAAGCAAGAGAGAGAAAATATTTTTTCCTAACATATTTATCATAGGTTAATGTTGAAGATGTAAATATAATTATACATCTCAACTTCACTAAATGGGAACTGAGAGAAGTGCAACCAGAAAATGAATGTGAGCAGTGGAAAATAATTTGCAGAAATAATAATCCTCTCCTGTTTCCAACAAGAATCTGTACTACTAGTGTCTCAAAAGTGTTTTTTTGTTGTTGTTGTTGTTTTGTTTTGTTTTGTTTTGCTTCTCAAATGATTTTAACATAGAGGTCTCAGGCAGTAGACACACTGTTTGGATATGGCTTTCAGACTCATTTTGTTTGCCTGACATGACGTTTTTTAAATTAAACAGCTAAATGTCAAACACATTGTATAAAAAACAGATTTTTGGTCTTTTTTTTTTTTTGACAAAATGATAGTATCTGGTAAGTGACATTACTCCGAAAAATGATTTGTTTTTATAAGTGGATGTAATTACTCACATCTAAAATTGTAATTGGCAAGATGTGACTAAAAGCAGAAGACTAGAGCTAATTCATATTTTATCAAGGATTTTGGAAGAATAAAGATTTTGCTTTTAAGAACAAAAATTATATTTATTTTTAAGATGTTTAGTATAAATTTCAAAAGATTCTAGACAATATTCTGATGGCTTTTAAGTTTCTTGCAAATTATTAATCAGTGAAAGATCTCTATCTTTCACAGACACACACACGAAATACAAAAAACAGTTTTTAAAAAATCTCAACTATGTATTTTTTTAGTGATATAAAAGTAGGAGTCAGGAACTGTAGCACTGTCAAGGCCTTCCTCCTATAAATAAATCAATATTATAAAGATACCATTTTTTTGAAATCATATGTTATTCAGCTAGCATCATTGAGTCAAGGCTAACCTAACAAACCATTCCTATCACACCAAGCATGATTCCTACAGGTTGCTTCATTCATTCATTAATTCACTCACTCAATAAATAAATATTTATTAGGGAAAAAGTCACTATGTGTCTAGCACTGTGCTGCATGTTCAGTAAGGAACAGAAATTCCCAACCCATGACCCATGAGCTGAATTTGGTTCAAAGATCTGGTGTTTAACCAATTTTTATTGTTACTTAAAACTAATTTTAATTATGGACCGAAATTTTAAGATCAGGATATTTTACATCAAGTCTATGAACGTGGTTTGTCTGAAAAATTAGAATTATTGACAACACAACCCCTAATCTCCCCACAACTGGCTGGAGCTGAGAATCCTCCTTAGATGGAGGAAGAACTTTCCCATTTGCCTTTGTTAATAATTAAAGCATAGGAGATATACCTAATGTAAATGACGAGTTAATGGGTGCAGCACACCAACATGGCACATGTATACATATGTAACAAATCTGCACGTTGTGCACATGTACCCTAGAACTTAAAGTATAATAATAATAAAAAATAATAATAATAATTAATGTTACCTAACTGGCCCCATAGACACTTTTTATTTTATATTTTTGGTTCATTTTTTAAAAAGACCTAATCTTTACCCTCAAAGAACTTAAAAATGATTAGTTTTGACTCTGATTCTCATATTTTCTTCAACCTAATTTTGATTATTAACTATGTTGTTTTAATTTGTTTTTATAGGGATTCGCCCCCTTACAACCAGCCTCTCATCTTACATTGTCAACTTTATGATACTGTTATAACCTATTATCTCAAGTTCAGGTACATTAGTTACTTCAGGCAGAATTTGCCATTTAAGTGATAAGTCACTAACAAGAAATGTTTCCATTGATTACACTTCATAATTACTGTATTTCCTCTGACTTAAAAACAGCACATTGTGTAATTCTGCTTCCATTAACATAATTCTTTCATGGGTCTGATTAGCAAGAAAACAATTTCAAATAAAGACAACTCCAATTCTGAAAACAGCTAGCTTTAAATTCATATCGTTTTACCTGTAAGCAATCTTCAGTAGCTTTCGTCTGTCACCCCCCGTTTTCTCCAGTGTAAAATAGAATCAATACGTTTTTTATTATGTAGGGTTGTTGTGTGTTAAATGAGATAATCGATGTGCAAAATGGCCTCAGAATGTTCTATCACATCATGGTCTCTTGATAATTCTCCTTTCTTTTCATAGCCTACCTCACACTGCCCCTTGTCCCTTGTGACATGGAGGTGAAGTCTCCTTTAACACATTCTGCACACTCCTTCAAAAACATTACTAATTTTTGCTTTATATATTTGAGATTACAATGTGCAACTAATAAAATTATAGTCATAGACATCAATTTTATCATGTTATATCACAAAATTGGGATTTTATGACAGCATTTGTTTTCTTAATGGCCTTGAAATGACAATTTGTCACTTTATATCTTTTTTGGAGAACAATAGAAACCCATCAATAATTTAAACATCCTTTTAGTTCCTTCACCTTTCACATTCTTAAAGCAAGTTAAACAGTATAACTTAATTTTACTTGACTATGTTACTAGAAAAGGTCAGTAAAAATATAAATGAGACAGTATATAAAATATGAACATCTGTTTCTACTTCTATTTTTTCTTTGAATCAAACTTGTTCTTGTTTGTGTTCTGGCTCAAACAACAATGAATGATACTAATAAATTCTATTTTTCAGTCAACAGAATTGGTTTATAAATCTTAGATTCTGAGAAACATTTCAGTAATAGAATCAGCATATGAATGACACTCGGGTATATTGCAAAATGGATCAAATTTTACTTATCTTTTCCATAGAAAGATTATAGCTTTTCATACATTTTTTTCTATCGAAGATAGCTAAATGTCTCAGTATAAAACACAGAGCTATCAAAGTAGAAAATATGTTTGAAACAAACCATGTTTTGACAGATGAAAGCAAAAACATTAAATTATATCTTGTCTACCACCTTGATATAACTTCATTCTTAATATATAAAACTTATCTAGCATTTAATGACATTCAACATAAAAATTGTATCACTTTCTGTCACTTTCTTGCTTTTTATTCTAAGATTTTGCATCACTCCACCAACTAATAGTACTATAATTATTATTTCATCATATTTCACCTGATTTAAATCATAAAAAGTTTTATGCATTCCTGCTAAACTCTTCTTGTAATAATCAGCTTTATAGACATTGTAAAGTGCTTCAATTTACAAAAAATATTAATCCATCTAATTTTTACCAGTTCTTTTCACATTTATTTGTATCAGAAATGTACATGTTATTTTTTAAAATTTAAAAGCTGTTTTGCAGTATAGTCTAATTTTTAATGTATGCACTTATAGACATATAAATGACAAAAAATTATATACCAAAATATTTTAAGAAGTTATATTTATTGGTGGTATTCTTAGCTGAATAACTCACATAATATTAAGGCTACTTAATAATTAATTTCTAGCAAAATAAAATTTATAAATAATATCTCTTATCCCAAAATATAAGGAAATGTGCAAAATCATTGGTAGACTAAGAAAAGCTAAAACAATGTATTTGAGAATTTCCTAATGTATGGCTAAGTTTTTGTTATGTAAGGCTTCTTTAGAGACTGAAAGAGTTTTTAAGATTGTATGTATTTAAAGACCATCATTTTGTAAATGAGAAAAATTAGGCACAGGGTGGAAAGATAATTTTCTGAGGCATAATTTCTTTGCATAACTGACAAAAAGTAAATGAAGATAGTTTTAAAATGTATAATAATCAAGTTGAATGCGCTTTCTATTTTTATTTGCTATATATATACAATGTTGTCTTTATCTACCTTACTAGCCATAAACTGTTGTTTTTATTTTTACTCAGTCAAGAGAAAAGGCTTTGAATTCAATCTATCATTCCAAAAAAGTTATGGGATTTATAAAATAGCACATGAAGATTACTATGATGATGATGAAAATTCCATATTCTATCACAACCTGATGAACTCTGAGTGTGAAACTACAAAAGACCCTCAGAGAGACAACCGTAACATCTTCAATGCTATAAAAGTAGAAATCAGCACCACGCCCTCTCTGGACAGCTCCACACAAAGAGGCATCAACAAATGCACAAATACTGATATTACAGAAGCTAAACAGGATTCCAACAACAAAAAGGATGCGTTTTCTGACAAAACAGGAGGTGATATTAACTATGAAGAAACTACCTTTTCTGAAGGGCCAGAAAGAAGACTGTCTCATGAAGAGAGTCAGAAACCAGATCTTTCAGACTGGGAGTGGTGTAGGAGTAAATCAGAAAGAACCCCTCGTCAGGTACAGTAAAAGTTGTTCTTGCTGTTAAATTGAAAGTGATACTAAATATGATAGTCATGAAAAACATTATCAGTTGTTTGTTTTATTCAATCAAGCCCAACATTAACTTCACTTGCCTCAATTAATTTCCATGCTATTTAATTTTATTTCAAGGTCTCTTTTGAAGGACTTTTTAATTCTTTTAATCAGTTTAAAATCTATACATTTTATAATAGGAAGAGTTAAACAGGCTCTTTAAGAAGGGTAGGGAATTCTTTTTTAACCTCAAGTAACCTGCATAAATTCAGATTAGATTCGCAGAACTCATGGTCCAAATTAATTTAATTTGTATATTTTATTTTTCCCTCCTCCATTCCAAAGGTATACCTTAAGTCTCCAAGGGAAGTTTTATTTTTTCATGTAAAGGCAAATATTTATACAACTAGCAGTGAGAAGTGTTGTTCTGTTGAAAGTATATTAGGCAGCTTGCCTATCAGTCTTACTAGAACTAATCCCTCCAGTACCCAGCAGAAAAAAAATATTACAGAATACATTCTCGTGAGCATTTGCAAGCCCTTACGAATGTTCCATCTCCTTAAATATGGAAGAATCATTTTATAATATTTTATAAAACTAAAAGAATTTGCACATGAATTTCTCATCCTTTCCTAGATCTCAGCCTTCCAAAAATGGTGAGGGATCCTTCTTATTCATTGAAATGGCAGTGTGATATTGATATGAGATTTTTTCTTTCCCCAAGCTCTCATATGTGATAATCAAGTTGCCCTTGCTTTCCACACTATTGATTTCCTAGGAAAAAGGAGTCTTTTTTTCTACATGAGTTAATGGAAATCAGAATCTACATGCACCTAATCTCTGGAATCAAAAGCATTATTTTAGAAATAAATACACTGCTAGGAGTAATGTACTCATTGATCAAAAGTATGATCATATAACACCAACTATAAATATGAGCAGAATAATTTGAGATTTTCTTTATTCTCATTGATTAAATAAAACTACTAGTCTCCTGATACCATTGTTTTAAAAGTGAGTTGAATAGTAAAATAAGGTGTACAAAATATATTATACAAAGAGACAATTGTGCATATGTTTAGAGTTTAGAAATCAAAGGAAAATATCACTAAATATTTGTCATAAATTAAATAGTACAGTAAAAGGTGGAGGCCAAAGAACACAACGCTCCATATGTTTAGGAAAAATGTGTTTCCCTAGCTAAGAGGGGAATTCCAACACTTTCATCGCCAATTTGCTCCTGAATAATGTAAACCTCTTAGTGTTGCACTTAGAAATTGTTAAGTTATATTCATAATGAAGCGCATATATGTGTGTGTGTGTCCATCCCAATAACTTGTAACTACCTTCTGTGCTAGTCACCTATATCATCCTCGTGATTACCCCTTACAGATTACAGCTATCTTGAATCTTACTCATATTTTTTGTTGTATTCTTCTATCACAAATGTATGTACTTCTAACATACTATATTGTTTAGCTTTGCTAATTTTGAGCCTTCTAAAGATGGTATCATGCTATATATAGTCTTCTGGGGCCTGCTTTTGTTCATTTAACATGACTAAGCTCAATTTTCTTATTTATTTCATCAAAACCATGGAAATTATTATCTAAAATACCACAACTTAACATCCTCATTTAAAAGCCTTGGTTATAGTTTGGAAAGTAGGGTCAAATAACTATAACTAGAAACGTGAAAGAATCAGACACTGCTTGCACATAAGTACATTGTCCTGGGAGAATGATGAAGAACAACTTACCCACAATCTTCTTTAAATCGAAAATTAAAATGATTTATGTAAAGTATAAAACTTTGATCAATCCAGGTATCTTTCAGCTATAAATATTGACTTGTTAAATATAGATATTTAAACAACTGTGATGATCAAGTCTTTCAGGAAACTTCTCTGAAATGGTCGCTATGAAAAATAATGATTAGTGGTAAAAGATGGATAATACAATATTCTGGAAAGGTAAAACTTTTTATTTCCAGGGACTAATTAAAATTAAATAAAATACTATCATAAATTTTAAAACAACAGGAAGAAATCCTAAACCACAGACTGACATTTTTTGTATAACCTTCCCTTAGTAAAAGTACCTGTGGTCTTTAAGGTTAGCCTTAAACACAAATACAAAATTTTAAATTAAAAAGGTTCTTTTTTTTTGAAAGTCAAAGTTGAATAGTGACCTCTTTTTTATTATTATTATTATACTTTAAGTTTTAAGGTACATGTGCACATTGTGCAGGTTAGTTACATATGTATACATGTGCCATGCTGGTGCGCTGCACCCACTAACTCGTCATCTAGCATTAGGTATATCTCCCAGTGCTATCCCTCTCCCCTCCCCCCACCCCACAACAGTCCCCAGAGTGTGATGTTCCCCTTCCTGTGTCCATGTGATCTCATTGTTCAATTCCCACCTATGAGTGAGAATATGCAGTGTTTGGTTTTTTGTTCTTGAGATAGTTTACTGAGAACGATGATTTCCAATTTCATCCATGTCCCTACAAAGGACATGAACTCATCATTTTTTATGGCTGCATAGTATTCCATGGTGTATATGTGCCACATTTTCTTAATCCAGTCTATCATTGTTGGGCATTTGGGTTGGTTCCAAGTCTTTGCTATTGTGAATAATGCCACAATAAACATACCTGTGCATGTGTCTTTATAGCAGCATGATTTATAGTCCTTTGGGTATATACCCAGTAATGGGATGGCTGGGTCAAATGGTATTTCTAGTTCTAGATCCCTGAGGAATCGCCACACTGACTTCCACAATGGTTGAACTAGTTTACAGTCCCACCAACAGTGTAAAAGTGTTCCTATTTCTCCACATCCTCTCCAGCACCTGTTGTTTCCTGACTTTTTAATGATTGCCATTCTAACTGGTGTGAGATGGTATCTCATCGTGGTTTTGATTTGCATTTCTCTGATGGCCAGTGATGATGAGCATTTTTTCATGTGTCTTTTGGCTGCATAAATGTCTTCTTTTGAGAAGTGTCTGTTCATGTCCTTCGCCCACTTTTTGATGGGGTTGTTTGTTTTTTTCTTGTAAATTTGTTTACAAAATTCTACAAAACATTCTAAATCACAAAGTTTAAAATGTTCACATTGTAATTTAAAATGCTAGCAAAAACACATTTAGGACTGAAAACCTTATGAGGACTTTTCCTAAGACTAAAACAACTTTTAATTCTTACCCTTTTCTTCAGCAGCAAATATTACATGGAAGTGAATGATGACTTAGAAAGGACTTTCATTTTTATCTTTTTCTTCCCAGTGCCGTTTTTTGCTCTCAAAGCAATGTTAACATATGTATCGTATATAGTGATGCATTAAACTGTGTGGTAGACACAGCAGTTACTCTATAAAAACACTACTTCTTTTGATTGTTTTATGGTTGTACTTTCAAACACTTAGGCTCAATTTATCAGTTTGTATCTAATGGTACTACATTTAATAGTAGGTGTTCTCAGGATATTTTAAAAGCAGATTTGATTTTAAACATATTTAGTGAGCTCTCTTTTATTTCTACAATATGCTTTTTTTTAATTAAAGTTTATGTTAACAATTTTCAGAATATTTTCTTGGAAGTCCTGGTAGGAGTGAGAATATCATCAAATTAAGGTTAAGGTGTAGAAATTATGGCAATACAATGGCTTCAGTAGATTTAAATGTGATCCCATAAAATTTACAAGAATTGAAGGTATTCATAAGACTGAAATTCAATTTAAACATGGCCACACAATTACTTCTTTTTGAACCCCTAATAAGTAGAAATCTAAGCAGTTTACCATTTTGAAAGTTCAGAAGAAATAGTAAGAAACGTCAGAGTTTTTTAGTTAGAAAGTCTTAATGTGATAGCCACCAGTATGACTCTTTCTGAAATGAAATGATAATTTTCTAGAACCCCACATTTTGTCATCTATGAATAAAGAAAATTGGACTTATAAAATAATTGGCTGGCTTGTGGGTGATCACTCTATTTTCTCTTTTAATACCAAGTTCATAAAATTACCCTGGATTCCATTTTCTTTCCTTTTAATGTTTTGTTTTAGAGTTCCAGAAACTCACTCATTTATTTTTGTGAATCAAAAACATAGATATCCTGAAACTTTTAATCTATTTACAATCCTATCATTATAGGATCTGTAAGGTGCAAGGTCCTCCATTTTGCCAGTAGGGTGTTTTAAAAACAGATTCTGAAATATTCCCTCTCAAATGAGAGACAAAGCAGAGGGAGGTAATTGTGTTTAAATTTACTACATAACCACTTAGCTTAAAGGATAAATAAGGCCAACAAGAACTAATTTTAAAGTCGCCTGAGAATCGAGGAAATTTTATTTTCATTTTAAGGAAAATGTTTTAGCTCTCTAAAAAGAGTTTTCTAAAGTTATGTTGTGTCAGTTGTTAACAGAGTTTAGTAGCAGCGTTGGTTTCTATAGTATTTTTAAAATATTATTATTTATTTAAGTAATTTTCATAGGAAACTACAGAATCCAAAAGCCAGCTAGACTATTTTGAGCTCTTTAGATCAGAGCTTCTCAAGTTTTAATGTACATACGAGTCAAATGGGTATCTTATTAAAATGCAGATTTTGATTGATTAGGTATGAGATGGGATCCAAGATTCTCCATTCCTAATAAGCTTCCAGATGATTTCTGTACAAACCAAGGTCCCACCTCAGACCTATAATCAAAATCCCCCAGTGGGCTAATATGCACATTAAAAATTTTAAAGTGCTGCTTTAGATTCTAATGGCTAGAGAATGCGCATGAGTTTGAAGTGCAGGGCAAAATTAATTCTTTCTATTTAATATACGACCCATAAAGTATAAGGCTGGAAGAAAATACTCAATACGGGTATCTTTTTCCTCTTCCTAAAAACTGTGCATCTTTTCTTTTCACTTTAAAAAATAAACTATTTAAAAAACGAGAACAGTGTATTGCTGTTTTCTGTTATATTATTAGCTTAAAATGAAGATGCCTAAACTTGTCTCTGAGTAATTTCTGACATTTTAACTGAAATGACCATACTAGAAAAAATCCACTTAAAACCTATTTATAGCCTCCACCCAGTCATCTTAACAAAAATAATCATCTGGAATATACTTTATTTTTGACTACATCCATTTGTTTGAAGTGCTTAGTTTATTACTAGCTGTTCAGAAAATTGAAAATTTGCTACACTGCCTAGTTTTTTAAAAGTACAAACTTTATTGTTTTTATAATTATTAAACTAACTTATAATTATTGTAGAAAATCTAGAAATTGCCGATAAGCAAAGAAAAAACTCACTTCCACCTACCCAGAGTTAACCACTGTTTACATTTTGTTGTATAAAATATCTGGCTGTTTTCTATGCATATATTTTTACTTTTGACAAAAACATACAAACCAAAAAAAGTCCTGCTGCATGTACTGCATGCGCTCTGCTTTTCTCCACTTCACAGCATAACTTTAACCTCAATTTAATTGTTTCAGCCCTTTGTGTCATTATCTGGTATAGTTTAGAGTGGCTATTTGAAGTGTGGCTGAAAATTCATCCATGAATATAAATTTGTTCTCAAGTATATAAAATCTTGGAAGTTGAACCTAAGGGAATTTTATTCTAAACTACTTCAGATATTTCATAGTACATTTTGTGATCTTCACAGCATGCATCATTTGCTGCAATGAGTAAAATAGCTCTAACTGCTCACGTTCTACAAATTGAAGGGAATTAGCATTGGATCAAAGCTTGTGTGGAATCATATAATTTATCTGTTAGCTAAGAATTCTGTTAACATTCTCATAAAAGTCTCCTGGCTTAAGAAACCTAAAAGATTGTGTACTGAAATGACCCAGCTGTGGCTTAAATCTCTTCTTGGTTACTCTCTACTTGAACTCAAGTGACTAGGAACTCACTACATTTTTTAAACTTTTTATTGTGAACTAATACATGACCTACAAAACAGTTGCAAAAAAATAGTACAGAGTTTCAATATATCTTAATTCAGTTTCCACTAATGTAAAGTTACACTGTACAATGCAATTATCAAGAAATTAATAACTAATCTCTAAATTTTATTTCAGCTTTACCAATTGTTCTCTTTCTGGTTCTGGATCTAATCCCTGATGATAAATCGTACTTGTTTTTATGTCTCCTTACCTCCAATTTGTAACAGCTTCTCAGTCTTTCTTTGTTTCGCAGGACGTTTACTCTTTTGAAGACTACTGGCCAATTTTGTTTTTTATTTTTGGAATACCCCTCAATTAGTAATTGTCTTATTTTTCAATTGACAGAATTAAAGACAAGAATATCACAAAAGTGATGTTCGTCTTTTCTAGTGCATCATCTCAAAAGGTACATGATGTTGATACATCTTATGATGGTGATGTGAACTTTGATCCCTTCATAAAATTGGTGTCTGCCAGATTTCTCTATGTAAAGTTTCTATTTTTCCCCCTTGTAATTTTTAAGTGTCTTGTGGAGAGACATTTTGAGGTTATGAAGATATTATGCTTCATATCACAACTTGCCAACTAACTTTAGCATGCACTGATGAATCTTACCTGCAACAATTATTATGCGATGGTAATTTTCTATTTCTACGATTCTTCTTTTGGTTTCATTCTTTGTATATTATGAATAATGTGGTGATAAACATTTTTATACATGATTCCTGATGCACATAAACACATTTTATTTATTTTTTTGTTTTTTTATTTCAATAGGTTTTTAGGGAACAGGTGGTATTTGGTTACATGAATAAGTCCTTTAGTGGTGATTTCTGAGATTTTGGTGCACCCATCACCCGAGTAGTGTACACTGTACCCAATGTGCAGTCTTTTAGCCCTAGCTAGCCCAACCCTTTCCCCTGAGTGTCCAAAGTCCAATGTATCATTCTTACACCTTTGCATCCTCATGGCTTAACTCACACATATGAATGAGAACGTATGATGTTTGATTTTTCATTCCTGAGTTGCTTCACTTAGAATAATAGTCTCTAATTCCATGCAGGTTGCTGTGAATGCCATTATTTTGTTCCTTTTTATGGCTGAGTAGTATTCCATGTATATATATATATATATACTACAATTTCTTTATCAACTCGTTGATTGTTGGGCTTTTGGGCCAGTTCCATATTTTTGAGATTACAAATTCTGCTGTGATAAACATGCATGTGCAAGTATCTTTTTCATATAATGACTCCTTTTCCTCTGGGTAGATACCTTCTAGTGAGATTGCTGGATCAAATGGTATATCACTTTTAGTTCTGCAAGGAATCTCCACACTGTTTTCTATAGTGGTTGTACTAGTTTACATTACCACCAACAGTGTAAAAGTGTTCCCTTTTTACCACATCCCTGTCAACATCTATTTTTTTTTTTATTTTATAATCATGGCCATTCTTGCAAATGTGAGGTGGCATTGCATTGTGATTTAGATTTGCATTTCCCTGATCATTAGTGGTGTTGAGCATTTTTCTATATGCTTCTGGCCATTTGTATATCCTCTTTTGAGAATTGTCTATTCAAATCCTTAGCCCACTTTTTGGTAGGATTGTTTGTTTTTTCCTTGATGACCTATTTGAGTTCTTTGTAGATTCTAGATATCACTCTTTTGTCTGATGTATAGATTATAAAGATTTTTTTCCCATGCTGTGGCTTGTCTGTTAACTCTGCTGATTATTTCCTTCACTGTGCAGAAGTTTTTTAGCTTACTTAAGTCCCATCTATTTATCTTTATTTTTGTTGCATTTGCTTTTGGGTTCTTGGTCATTAAGACTTTGCCTAACCCAATGTCTAGAAGGGTTTTGCCAATTTTATCCTATAGAATATTTATGGCTTCAGGTCTTAGATTTAAGTCTTGATCCATCTTGAGTTGATTTTTGTGTAAGATGAAAGATGAGGATCCAGTTTCTTTCTTCTACATGTGGTTTGCCAATTATCCCAGCACCATTTGTTGAATAGGGTATCTTTTCCCCACTTTATGTTTTTGTTTTCTTTGTCAAAGATGAGTTGACTATAAGTATTTGGTTTTATTTCTGGGTTCCCTATTCTGTTCCATTCGTCTATGTGCCTATTTTTATACCAGTACCATGCTATTTTGATGACTATGGCCTTGTAATATAGTTTGAATTTTGGAAATGTAATGCCTCCAGATTTGTTCTCTTTGCTTAGTCTTGCTTTGGCTATGTGGGCTCTTTTTTGGTTATACAAGAATTTTAGGATTGTTTTTCTAGTTCTGTGAAGGAATGATGGTGGTGTTTTGATGAGAATTGCATTGAATTTGTAGATTTCCTTTGGCAGTATGGTCATTTTCACAAAATTGATTCTACCCATACATGAGCATGGGATGTGCTTCCATTTGCTTGTGTCATCTATGATCTCTTTCAGCAGTGTTTGGTAGCTTTTCTTGTCTTTCACCTCTCAGTATTTTATTGTCTTTGCAGCTGTTGTGAAAGGGGTTGAGTTCTAGGTTTGATTCTCAGCTTGGTTTCTGTTGGTGTATAGCAGAGCTACTGATTTGTGAACATTAATTTGTATCCTGAAACTTTGCAGAATTTATTTACCAGTTCTAGGAGCTTTTTAGATGAGTCGTTAGGGTTTTCCAGGATCATCGCAAACAGCAACAGTTTGACTTCCTCTGTGCCAATTTGCCCTTTTTTCCTTTCTCTTGTCTGATTGCTTGCCTAGGACTTCTATGTTGAACAGAAGTGATGAAAGTGGGCATCCTTGTCTTGTTCCACGTCTCAGGGGTATGCTTTTTACTTTTCCCTGTTCAGTATAATGTTGGCTGTGGATTTGTCATAGATGGCTTTTATTACCTTAGGATATGTCCCTTCTATGCTGATTTTGCTGAGGGTTTTAATCATAAAGAGATGCTGGACTTTTGTCAAATGCTTTTTCTGCATCTATTGAGATGATTATGTGATTTTTGTTTTTAATTCTGTTTATGTGGTGTATTACATTTATGGACTTACATATGTTAAACCATTCCTGCATTCCTGGTATGAAACCCACTTGATCATGGTGGATTCTCTTTTTGATATGCTGTTGGATTCAGTTAGCTAGTATTTTGTTGAGGATTTTTGCATCTATGTTCACCAGGGATACTAGTCCATAGTTTTCTTTATTTGTTATGTCCTTCCCTGGTATTGGTATTAGAATGATACTGGCTTCCTAGAATGATTTAGGAAGAACTCTCTCTTTCTCTATCTTTTGGAATAGTGTCAATAGGACTGGTACCAATTTTTCTTTGGATATCTGATAGAATTCATTTGTGAATTCGTCTGGTCCTGGACTTTTTTTGGTTGGCAAATTTTTAATTACTATTTTAATCTTGCTGCTTGTTATTGGTCTGTTTAAAGGTTCTATATCTTCCTGGTTTAATCTAGAAGGGTTGTATAATTCAGGGAATTTATTCATCTCCTCTAGGTTATCTAGTTTATGTGCATAAAGGCATTCACAGTAGCCTTGAATAATCTTCTGTATTTCTCTGGTATCATCTGTAATATTTCCCATTTCATTTGTAATTGAGCTTATTTGGATCTTCTCTCTTCTTTTCTTGATAAATCTCGCTAATGGTCTACAGATTTTATTTATCTTTTCAAAGAACCACCTATTTGTTTAATTTATCTTTTGTATTAATTTTTTTTGTTTGTTTCAATTTCATTTAGTTCTGCTCTGATATTTGTTATTTCTTTCCTTCTGCTGGGATTGGGTTTGAATTGTTCTTGTTTCACCAGTTCCATGAGGTGTGACCTCACATTGTCTATTTGTGTTCTTTGAGAATTTTTGATGTAGGTATTTAATACTATGAACTTTTCTCTCAGCACCACTTTTGCTGTATCCCAGAGGTTTTGATAGGTTTTGTCACTATTATCATTCAGTTCAAAGAATTTTTAAATTTCCGTCTTGATTTCATTTTTGACCCAATAGTCATTCAGGAGCAGGTTATTTAATTTCCATGTATTTGCATGGTTTTTAGGCTTCCTTTTGGAGTTGATTTCCAATTTTATTCCACTGTGGTCTGAGAGAGTACTTAATATAATGTTAATTTTCTTAAATTTACTGAGACTTGTTTTGTGGCCTATCATATGGTCTATTTTGGAGAACGTTCCATGTACTGATGAATAGAATGTATATTCTGCAGTTATTGGGTAGAATGTTTTGTAAATATCTGTTAAGTCCATTTGTTCTAGGATATAGTTTAAGTTCATTGTTTCTTTGTTGACTTCCTGTCTTGATGACCTGTCTAGTGCTGTCCGTGGAGTATTAAAGTCCCCCACTATTATTGTGCTGCCATCTATCTCATTTCTTAGGTCTAGTAGTAATAGTTTTATAAATTTGGGAGCTCCAGTGTTAGGTGCATGTATATTTAGAATTGTGATATTTTCCTGTTGGACTAGTTCTTTTATCATTGTATAATGTCCCTCTTTGTCTTTTTAAACTGCTGCTACTTTACAGTTTGCTTTGTCTGATGTAAGAATAGCTACTCTTGCTCACTTTTGGTGTCCATGTGAATCCTTACGTGTTAGGCGAGTCTCCTGAAGATGGCAGAAACTTGGTCAGTGAACTCTTATCCACTCTGCCATTCTGTATCTTTTAAGTGGAGCATTTAGACCATTTACATTCAATGTTAGTATTGAGACGTGAGGTACTATTCTATTAATCATGCTATTTGTTGCCTGAATAACTTGGTTTTTTTCATTGTTATTGTTATATAGGTCCTATGAGATTTATGCTTTTAGGGGGTTCTGTTTTGGTGTATTTTGAGGATTGGTTTCAATAGTTAGAGCTCCTTTTAGCAGTTCTTGTAGTGCTGGCTTGGTAGTGGCAAATTCTCTCAGCATTTGTTTGTCTGAAAAAAACTGTGTCTTTCCTTCATTTATGAGGCTTAATTTCACTGGATACAAAATTATTGGATGATGATTGTTTTGTTTAAGGAGGCTAAAAGTAGGACCCCAATCCCTTCTAGGTTGTAGGATTTCTGCTGAGAAATCTGCTGTTAATCTTATAGGTTTTCCTTTATATGTTACCTGATGCTTTTGCCTCACATCTCTTAAGATTATTTCCTTTATCTTGACTTTCGGTAACCTGATGACTATGTTCCTAGGAGATGATCTTTTTGCAGTGAATTTCCCAGGTATTCTTTGACTTTCTTGTATTTGGATGTCCAGATGTCTAGCAAGACTGGGGAGGTTTTCCTGGATTATTCCCTCAAATATGTTTTTCAAACTTTCAGATTTCTCTTTTTCCTCAGGAACACGATTTGTTCTTAGGTTTGGATGTTTAACACAGTCCCAAACTTCTTGTAGGCTTTGTACATTTTTAAAAATTCTTTTTTCTGTATCTTTGATGGATTTGGTTAATTCAAAAGCCTGTCTTTGAGCTCTGAAGTATTTTCTTCTGCTTGTTCAATTCTATTGCTGAGACCTTCCAGTGCATTTTGCATTTCTCTGAGTGTGTCCTTCATTTCCAGAAGTTGTGATTGTTTTTTATTTATGCTTTCTATTTCACTGAAGAATTTTCCTTTCGTATCCTGTATCATGTTTTTGATTTCTTGAAGTTGGACTTCACCTTTCTTTGGTGCCTCCTTGATTAGCTTAATAATTGACCTTCTCAATTGTTTTTCTGGAAATTCCGAAATTTTGTCTTGGTTTGGATCTACTGCTGGTGAGCTGGTATGATCTTTTCAGGGTGTTAAAGAAACTTGTTCTGTCATATTACTAGAATTGTTTTTCTGGTTCCTTCTCATTTGGGCAGACTATGTCAGAGGGAAGATCTGGAATTCAAGGGCTGCTGTTCAGGTTCTTTTGTCCCACGGGATGATCCCTTGATGTGGTGTTCTCCTTCTTCCCCTAGGAATGGGGCTTCCAGAGGCCAAACTGTAGTGATTGTTTTTGCTCTTCTGGGTCTAGCCACCCAGCAGAGCTACTGGATTTCAGTCTGGTACTGGGGAGTGTCTGCAAAGAGTCCTGTGATGTGATCATCTTCAGATCTTGCAGACACGGATACCAGCAACTGCTCTGGTGGAAGTAGCAGGGGCATGAAGTGGACTCTGTGAGGGCCTTTGGTTGTGTTTTTGTTCAGTGTGCTGGTTTTGTGTTGATTGGCCTTCGGCCAGGAAGTGACACTTTCAAGAGTGCATCAGCTGCAGCCCTATAGGGAGGATGTAAACTTGCCCTAGGGACACCTGGTTAAGTATTCAGGTTTCTCAGGTGGTGAGCAGGGCCATAGAGCTCCCAAGAGGTTATTGCTTTTGCCTTCGACTACCAAGGCAGATAGAGAAAGACCACCAGGTGGTAGCAGGGATAGGCATGTCTGAGCTCAGCCTCTCCTTGGGCAGGGCTTGCTGTAGCTGCTGTGGGGGATGGGGGTGTGGTTCCCTGTCCAATGGAGTTATATTCCCAAGGAGAGGATTATGGCTACCTATGCTGAGTCACACAGGTCACCAGGAAAGTGGGGGAAAGTCAACAGTCACAGGCCTCACCCCTCTCCCAAATGCAGCCCACAGTCCTAGAGGCCCATCTCACTCCCACTGTGCCCCACTAACAGCCTTGCGTCTATTTCCAGGCAGCCAGTGACCAGGCTGAGAACTTGCCTCAGACCACAGGCCTCCCTGCTGAGAATGCAAGCTGACTCACAGGTTTTTGGGGTCTCAGGGAGCCTGCAGTGGTGATCCAATTCCTTCAGTGGGTCTGTGGATTCTTTTGGCTTTCTTGGTATGTTCCTGCAGTAGTTCTTGGAGCAAAAGTTCATGATGTGAGTCTCCACATGCTGCTCTGTCCATCTGAGTGGGAGCTGCAAGCTAGTCCTGCCTCCTATCTGCCATCTTCACAAGGTCTTATTTCTACCATTCTTTCTATATTTAGCATAGGAATTCTACTGTAAGGAAAAGCTATCTCTTCTCCTTCGTTTACCTATTTATTTATTTATATCAGTATGGATTCACAGATATTTATTTTAACTTATAGATCATAAACTATGCTATCATTTATTTTGTTACCCCAACTATCCTATATTTGGCCATTGGGAGCTCTTTCATGTTGGTATCTCTATCTATCCAACATGACATAATCATTTTTTAGCATTTTCTGACTTTCTGACAGCATGAGATATCCCAGCATCATTGTGTATTTTCCTTAACCTGGCCCCAGAATCAAGAGTTTTTCCAAGGAGCTCTGGTTCCTTTAATTGGAAAATAGTATTTAGAAGCCAAAATCTGGGTGCTAGATACACTCATTGCTACTGAGGTGTCTTGCTTCTAGGCCCTAACCTACAGAGCTAGGAAATATATATATATATATGTGTGTGTGTGTGTGTGTGTGTGTGTATACACATGACATATACACACATGAACATATATATACACATATGCTTATGTGTTTATCTATATTTCTATATTAATCACCCCATATTAATAATTTTAAAACAAGTTTATACTGATACCTCCAATTCCAATCAACTACTACAGAGTTCATTCAAGCCTTTCTCTTTTCTTATTTACTTCCTTTCCTGACAGTGAAAAAACAGGCTTTTATCCACAAATACGTTTACTTTTTTGCCCAGTTCTGATATACACATAAAGAAATTTTAGAATTGCTAACCCACACCCCTGTAGGAAAAAATATTAAGAGTATAATAATTGCAAATGGTTATTACCTTTAGCTTACAGGTTACAGTCAAAACATTATCTTCCAAAGTTACTTAGGTCAGTTCTTTGCATTTCCATTTTTCCATTCCCTTCATTTTATATTACATTTTTCATTATTTATATTTGACTATGTGAAGCATGATCAGGTTTTCAAGCATCAGAACTATATAAAACATGATGTGGTTTGGCTGTGTCTCCACCCAAATCTCATTTTGAATTGTAGCTCCCATAATTCCCATGTGTTATGGGAGGGACCCAGTGGGAGATCCTTGAATCATGAGGGGTGGTTTCCCCCATACTCTTCTTGTGGTAGAGAATAAGTCCCACAATATCTGACAGTTTTATAAGGGGAAACTCCTTTCACTTGATTTTCATTCTCTCTTGCCTGCCACGATCTAAGACATCCCTTTTCCTGTCTGTCATGATTGTGAGGCCTTCCCAGCCATGTGGAACTGTGAATCCATAAAACTTTTCTTTCTTTATAAATTACCCAGTCTCAGGTATGTCTTTATCAGCAACGTGAGAACGGGCTAATACAAAAGGCATATGCGCTTCATTCATTTTTCTTCCCTGATTTTATTTTTCTCATTCTTTCCACCTTGTTCCTACATACCTTCTGTAAGTAACCACTCATATAGTTTATGGTTTAACGTTCCTGTATTTCTTTTTGCAAAATTGGGTAGATACATGTTTGTCTTCTTATATCCCCTCTTTTCTTACACGTAGATATGATTCATGCTTTACTTTTTTCCTTAACAATAAATACTGGACATCTCTACATATTAGTTCATAGACATCTTCCTCATGGCTGTGTAATAACCCAGTGTGAATATACCATAGTCAATTTAACTACTCTGTAGCTTGTTTCCAATATTTTGCAATAAAATCAGTACTGCAATGAGTAACTAACCTTGTATGTATGTATTTGCACATTGTTGGAGGTGTAGCTTCAGGATAAATTCTTAGAATTAGAGTTTCTCGGTCAAATAAAAAATGTAGTTTTGCTAGGAATTGCCAAATACCCCTCTAGAAGGTTATACCAGTTTCTACTCCCACCAGCAATGTGTGAAAGAGGATCTTTTTTCCTACCACTTCAGTAACAGTGTATATTATCACACTTTTAAACTTTTTCCAGTGTGATAGGAGAGAAATGATTTCTCAGGGTTGTTTTAAATTATACTTATCTAATTGTGAGCAAGCTTGAATAGTTTTTATATATTTAAGGAACTTCTATCTTTTTCTCTATTATAAATTGTTATTATTTTTTCCAATTTTTATAGAGATTTCTTTTTCTTCATCTTCTAATTTTTAAGAGTTCTTTACATATTAGAAATATTAGTTCTTCATCCATTATATCCTATGTTACAAATATTTTTCAGCATTTATCAGATACCTTTTGATTTTTGTTTATAGTATTTTTTTACCATGCACAATTTTTTGTTTATAATAAAAATTATCAATCTTTTTATTAATTGCATTTGAATTTTTTTAATAATAGTTAGAAATCCAGTTTAAAATGGAATTCACCCATGCTTTTTTCTAAGTACTTGTATGGCTTAATTATTTCTATTTTGATCCCAGGTCCATTTGGATTTTATTTTTGTGGTAGATGTAAGATAGGGTATAATTGTATATTTTTTCCAAATGGTTGCTTATTATTATTAAAAAGTATTATTTATTTAAAGGTCAATCATTACCCACAGTGAGTTATCGTCTTTATCTTATACATTTCTATATCTACTTGGATCTATTTCTAGGCTTTCTACTTTTTTTTTTTTTTTTTTTTTGATGGAGTCTTGCTCTGTCACCCAAGCTGGAGTGCAATGGTGCAGTCTCAGCTCACTGCAGCCTCTGCTTCCCAGGTTCAAGTGATTTTCCTGCTTCAGCCTCCTGAGTAGCTGGGACTACAGGCGCAAGCCACCATGCCCAGCTAATTTTTTGTATCTTTAGTAGAGACGGGATTTCACCGTGTTAGCCAGGATGGTCTCGCTCTCCTGACCTCATGATCCACCCACCTTGGCCTCCCAAAGTGCTGGGATTACCTGCGTGAGCCACCACACCTGGCCATATTCACTCTTTTTTGTCTTCAGTATAAATGAGGTTTTCTCTATCATTATACCCTCTCACTGGCTATTGTTTGTGTGTATTAAAGGTATTGATTTATGCCCGTAAATTTTATATCTGCCACATTACTGAATTCTTTTATCGTTTAAATTTATTTTATCATTATCAAAAATTTATAAGTATAATATCATATCATCTGCAAATAGAAATTGCTTTACTACTTCTTTATTAATTCTTATGCCTCTGTTTAATTTCTCTTGTCTGATTATATTGGCTAACACTCCTAAAACATTGTTGAATAGTGGAGGAGGTGGTAAGCATTCTTGCCTTCTTCCTGATTTTAGTGGAAAGGTTTCTGATGTTTTCCTATTAAGAAAGATGACAGCTCTCACTACTTTGTGAGGCAGATAATTTAAATTTCTGCTGCTGCTGCTGATGATGATGATGATGATAGCTAGTATTTATTGAATACTTGCTATGTTTCACATGAGGTTCTAAGTACTTTACAAAAAATTGCTCACTTAGTATTCACAAAAACTCTGTGTGGTTTGTACTGTTACTCAATTTTACAGATGAAAAAACTGAAGCACAGAGAAGTTAAGCCT
This sequence comes from Homo sapiens, assembly GCF_000001405.40. Taxonomy (NCBI): domain Eukaryota; kingdom Metazoa; phylum Chordata; class Mammalia; order Primates; family Hominidae; genus Homo; species Homo sapiens. The sequence continues at coordinate 154,404,703 of NC_000003.12, read as the reverse complement.
AAGGTCTATCAGAGCCTGTGAACAAACTTCAGTTATCTGATTCCAGAGACAGTCCATATGTTCACTACCATACACTGTTTCGGAGAGATAATTTTGATAGTTAGCAATCCTTTCCTACACTGAGTTTAAATCTATTCCCCTCACAGAGGCAGATTAGTATCACCTAGGGGATCTTTAAATATGTCACAATCTCACCCATAGAAGTTATGATTTAATTGGTCTGGAGTGAGATTTGGGTATTATTCTCTAAAACTCTGTGTGTGGATATTTGAAAAATATATAACAGAGAACTTATATTTAGAGTATGTAACTTATAAAGAACACCAATAGTACAACAAGAAAACAATAGACAACCCAATAGTATGTGGGCAAAAGATTTAAACTGATACTTCATGTAAAAGGAAATCCAAATAATCATGGCCATGTGTAAAGGTATATCTCAATTAAAATAACAGTGAGTGACCACCACACACCCACACAAATAGCTCCAATTAAATATTCTGAAAATTTCAACAGTTAATGAGAATATGGAAAAACTTAAATGTATATAAACTGTTGGTACGATAAATTGTTAAAAACACTTTGTAAAACAGGTTAGAAATATTTCCAAAAGTTAAATATATCCATGCCTTATGCTTCAGCAATGACACTCTTGGTTACACATCCTAGAATTGCACTGTCCAATACATTAACCACTAGTCACATGTGGTTGTTTACATCTAAATAAATTAAACATTTTTTAAATTTAAAACTTCATTCCTCAGGTGCACTAACCACAGCTCAAGTACTCAGTAACCAGATGTGGCTGGTGACTACTGTACTGAGCAGCACCCATATGGAACAGGACCATCTTGCAGTTCTATTGGATAGTGCCACCTAAATCATATTTACATGCTGGCAGCTCTTTTTTTTTTCATAGAGTTAGCATTTAGGAATGGACCAAAAGTCCATCAACATTAGAATACATTGTTGAATTATTTTTACAATAGAATACCACATGCGGAATTGTATTTTTCATGAAGCCAGTGAAGCTGAAACTTTGGGCAACTCGCTTGTGCTGATCTCTTCCAAGGCTGGGAGGATCCCTATCAATGTGTTCATGGGAAAATATGTTTTCATAAAGTTAGCAAAAAAGAAGATTTCTATACTTTTTTAAAGAACAAAGCTATATATGCTTTCAAGCCCCTTGAAATCTGGTTCTACCTCTAACTAAAAAAGAACAGAACAAAACTAAAGCTAACAAAACATGAATGAGTTTTGCAAACATGACAGAAATGTAGCATAAAAAGCGCTGACACCCTCAAGCCCTTTTTGCCCATGCTACTGCCTAGCATAAAGCATCCCATATTGTACATTTGTCATCTGTTGTTTGGACCCAATTATGTCTTATCTCTGTTAAATTTCATCCTGCTTCCTTTAATTTACTCTTTCTTAATTTCAATAGCCTTTCCTAATGCTGTAAAAAATGCTTTCAGATGCTGCTCCTAAGATCTGGCTTCTATACTATGATACCAAAATTTGTGTCACCTATGAACTTAATAAGTTATCCTTCATGTTTCTATCCAAACCATTGATTGTGGATCAAGACAGGGCCAAAGACAGAAGCCCTGCTATACACTACTAGAAACAAGTCCTCTCATTCATTTTTATTTATTTAAAAACACTGTTAATATTTTGGGTTCATATAGTTATTAATTTACTTAGTTGCCCTTGCAATCAATATGTTTTTCCTCCCTCTTGTTCACAAAGATTCCATTAGGAAATTACAAAATGCTTTAATGGAATACTAACATAAAATTTTCAAATGCATTTCTTTCATCTGCCATTAGTTTATTCAGTAAATATTTTTCATAGAAGCACTGTGGATATAAAGATATAAGCCTCCTGCTTTCAAGTTCCACACAGGCATGTATGTGAAGAAGATTTTCAAACAATTAGCTGTACTTCAGTGAGAAAAAAAGTGTACAGGATATAGACAACGCACTTACAGACCACAGAAGGTGGAGTGGTAAGTCCAGCAACATTGAGGAAGAAAGGAATTGATCCACAAAGACTTAGTTGTAGAGAAATCATACCGTGTTTTGGGTCTTACAGCTTTTTTTTTCTTGGCTTTCAAACTCTGTCCTTTCATCTTAGAAAGATGGATCTTAGAAACTTTCATGGATCTTTGAAACTTTCATGGATCTTTGAAACTTTCTAGGAATTGATGTAAATATCACTTGTCTACTTTGTTGAATTCACTGCTTTCTATTCTATATTTATTTATTTATTTATTTATTTATTTATTTGAGACAGGGTCTCACTCTGCCATCTAGGCTGGAGTGCAGTGGTATGATCATAGCTCACCATAGCCTCCAACTCCTGGACTCAAAAGATCCCCTGCCTTAGCCTCGTAAGTATTGAGATTACAGGTGTGAGCCATGGTGCCTGGCCTGCTTCCCATTTTAAAAACTGAAAATATTTGCACAGTTTTAATGTTCCCATTTGCTTTAAGGACATCAGCAACAACCATATTCATACAGCAACTTTTCATGGTAACTTTCAGTATAATTATTTTCAGAGAGAAATTTGCACTTCTGCAGTAGCAAGGATCTCTCATTATTTTTATTTTAAATTTGTCTTTCTTAATATTCACAAATACTTTCTTAGTGCTTTAAGATTCATTTACAAAGGATACAGAAACAAGTTTGGAGCTGAGGATATCAGCTTCTTCTTTGCCATCCCTTGACTTGATGGCATTAGCTGCAAGAAGTGGGCCTATTCCTTATTTTGACCTTTTGATTTAAACATAGGTTTCCAAAGACCTACTTTGTTGCTTTAGTATTTTTGCAAGCCACAGATTATTACATTTATTTAGACTTCCTAACATCAAACTTCCCATCTTTTGCAATGAGTAATTTGTTGCATAGGTCTCCCTCAGGCCGGATCTGATCTGCACTAATTTTAAAGATGAAATTTTCCTTTATCCCTTAACTGCATCACTTATGATTATACAGCCAAAATTGCAGTCTTGACACTCACATGTAGGTTTTTTTTTCCTGTTTTTCCCCCCAGTTTGCCTTCTGAAAGTTGAAATGTATCTAGCCTACTAAGTTCAGCATTTTTCTTCTGGATATCACATACTCTAGGAATTAATAGTTGTTTTTCTCCTTAGGTATCCAACTCTTCTACTTTCACTAATTATTTCTCTCTTATTGATAAGAATTATATTCTAAGAAACTGTTCCTTCTTGCTTCCTGTACTCTCTGTGAGATGAAGCTGTCAGCAAGGCAAGGCAAAAATATGCCATCTGATTTGCTTTATAGTTTAATAGATCCCAGCAGAATCATTTGAAAACATTGCCTTGCTACTGGGCAAACACAGATTCTCTCCACCTTCAAAAATAATCTCTATTCAAGAGCCACCTTTTCTATACCTTAAGCTGTGATTTAGAAATATTTATTTAGTTCAGTGGCACTATCTGCAAAGCCAGAAAAGTGTCAACACAAAAAGCAAATTAATACCACTTGCTAACAATTATTAGCAATGTATAAGAGTCACCAATTTTAAGCAGTTATAGGAATTAAAAGAGAAAATTTTCAGAAAATAGCTCACAGTGTTTTGCATTTCATCCTTTAAGATAAAGATAAAATTTGAAACAGCTTTCTTCTCTCATGAATCATACAACACTAAGTGGTAAAACCAGGACTCAAACGCATTCGTCATCCTGTGATACAACAAAAAATTCTATAATATTTTAGTGTAAAAGTCTAGTGTGTGTCCATTCATTTTGGAACAAATATTACTCTAGATAAAATGATATTTAATATCCTTTGTTTTAATCACTAATTATCATGTGTTTTCACTTTAGTAGTGGCTAGTCTCTTATGAAATGTTGCAGGTAGAGCACGGGCTTTGGAAACAGGCAGGCCTGAGCTTTAAATCGCCTTCAAATATTTCAAGATTATGACTCTTATTAACTGCGTATAACTTAATTCTGTAACCTTAGGAGGGTGGCTTTACAACTTTTGATTCATTGCAATAAAAATGAAGCAGAAATTACTCAGAGATGATGTCATGTAATTCAATAGAACATAGTACAGTGGTATCAGGGGAGGCTCTGGGATTTCTACATAGAGAGAGCATCAGAATGACAATATTGTGGAAGGAGTGTCTAGAGAAATTATCTTAAAGTTCTTTGCATATAAAGCTCCTTGGTTTTCATTAGAGAGCATGTTTATTGAAGTGGCTTTGAGAACACAGTGAAGAATATTGAAAAGGATACTAAGACCCTCTTCGAGGTTACCCATTGACACAACCACTACATATTATATGAAATATTACTTAAGGCAAATAATATAATTTCTGATCCTTAGTAAGCTTATAAAACTACTATGAGGATTCAATATTATGATAATTTGTAAATAATTTCAAATAAGGGCCGGGCGCGGTGGCTCACCCCTGTAATCCCAGCACTTTGGGAGGCCGAGGCGGGTGGATCACGAGGTCAGGAGATTGAGACCATCCTGGCTAACACGGTGAAACCCCGTCTCTACTAAAAATACAGAAAATTAGCCGGGCGCAGTGGCGGGCGCCTATAGTCCCAGCTACTCGGGAGGCTGAGGCAGGAGAATGGCGTGAACCCGGGAGGCGGAGCTTGCAGTGAGCCGAGATCGCGCCACCGCACTCCAGCCTGGGCAACAGAGTGAGACTCCGTCTCAAAATAATAATAATAATAATAATTTCAAATACAATTATTGACACACGTATATGATAATAGTACAGAAGTACTATTGAGAGAACCTCCAGATATGCATGTATTTCATAGAGTAGGGGCTCTATAATATGCTGTTAACTGAATGAATAAATTTCAGTGAAAGCAACTGTGTTTTTCAAGCTGGAGTGTGGAGGTGATTTAGGTGTTTGTAACAGAGTTGTTTCCTTGCTCTTTGGTAAAGAAACTCAAAGGATATCAAAGACTTCCTAATAATAGTGCACCAAAGATACCTCAGGCCATGCCTTCAACTTCTAACAGTTTTAAATGACTAAATGGACCATCAGTCTCTAGAGCAGAGGAAAGTTGCTAACAGGCCTGAAAACGCTGAGGGAATTTTGATTCCAATGTGAAGACTTAAGTTCCACACTGAATTTAAAGTTCTACCTGGAACTCTAGGTTCAAAGTAGGATACAGAGTGATTAGAAAGAAGGATTACAAGCTTAGACTAAGGAGAAAGGTGATATTTACTACACCAAGTGATGACTGACAATTTTTGAACATTTTTGGGGAAAGAAAGGTTATAACTGGCCATCTTTATGTGAAAAATATTAATTTATAATAGCATTTATTCGTTTTCTAGTATTACATAAAGTTTAACTTTTATATGAGAGTTGCAGTATTTTTTACAAAAGTATGAAGAAAAAGTTATTGTAACATGAATCTTTGACAAGATATTCACATTACAGGTGTAAGCTCTGACTTGTCTTTAATGAACCTGACCTCTGGAGAAGTACTTACTATAGGAAAATATCATAAATCCAGCCAGTGGTTCTCAACCTCCTCCAGACGTTAAAACTTAAAAAAAAATACTAATACCAAAGCCCAACTTCCGAATAACCAAATGAGGATCCCAGCAGGTTGGGACTAGCATTTAGTGTTTCTTAAATTAATGATTCCAATGAACATCTTAGACTGAATAACACTAGTTTGCCTTTTATAAATCAAAGTTATAACATAATGAGGGAAAAAGTGTTCCAATTTTAATTAGAGTCCTTCTCTTATGTTTATTGGAGTTACATTCAGCTCTGTGAATAGGATGAGACGTCATTTTGTACGTTAATTTGAGCAAATGGTGAAAATTAAGCAGAGTTGACTTGATCCAATCTTCCTGCTGTTTGCCAAGTCATCAAGGGGTAATAATCATGAGCATCCATGAACAAATGGTATTGGTTTCTCTGAGTTAGTTCCTACATTGATGAAATGAGTCATGGCCATTTTTAATTATTTAAGATCCAAGAGCACATATGGAAATAGTTGGGTTTTTGAACTTGTCATTTCAGCCAAATTTCAATTTTAGTAATTATTCTGCTTACCTCATTTCCCCATGATATTATAGGGTTGTTGTTGTTTCTTTCTTTCTTTTTAAATTGTACTCAAAGCTTCCTGTTCTCAGCTGTGTAAATTGAAAAACCACAATGGTTTCAATTCAGATGCAAATAGAAATAACCATTCTGAATGATCTATTTTATAGTTTAGGATAAAAGACCATTAAAATAAGCAAGAAAAATATCAGAGATAGAGAAAATTGACACAATTTACTAAAAGCAACTTTCTTCTCCAGTGAAACTTTTTTTGTTTCAGAAAGTCAAGATATTGTCATTTTAAAACCTTGAAGAAAGCCTGGACCACAAGAGGAAAGGCGGTTTCCCTAATCATTACCTTAATTGTTATTTGTGTAGTACTTAGCAGTGTGTAACAAACTTTCACATGCATTGACTAATTTCACCCTCTTTCTAGATAGTCAGGGAAGATGTTTTCTTCCTCTTTGACTGACAGTTGAACTGAGATTAATATCCCAATGGTGTGTTGATAAATGTTTAACAACTGCAACTGGCATTGTGGGGAAAATGTGTATGTGTATAAGTGTGTATATATATAAGCTTATATGACCTTTACTGATATAAAGAATGTGTAGCACATAATTTACAAATAATATTAACATAGATATTACTTTGTATTGTAATTTCCATACAACTACCTGATTCTCACAGAATACTTTGGTTGATTTTTACAAAAATCTTATAACCATTGCCAACCTGTAGTTACAACTGACAATATAAATGTTGGTTAACATTTATATATACTAATGAGTAAGATAAAAATTAAATAACTAAGGTATATGCTAAACTCACTTGTCAATGAGTAATTTTTTATTGAATTACACAATAGTTTTCAAATATACAATTTCCTGTGCATCTCTTCCCAAGTCTGCATTCAATGATGTCACAGTGCTAGCTTTAAATCAGCCATGGTGGGAGTATTTATAGCATGCAAGTCAGAAAATGCGACAAATTAGGACTCGTGATGTGCAGCAACACAATATTATATAGTATTTTCAACATATAGATACAATAGATGGAAATAATCTCAAGAACATGAGTAATAACAAAATATATTAGAATAATTGGGAGTGATGAGTTTTGAGTATTTATTGCCTTTGTTTTTCATATAATTCAGTTTAAGTTTATATAATTTATTTTTAATAATCAGCTTGCAAGATTTCTAAAAATTGCATGAGCCAGTTTGAGCCAACTCTAGCACACTCCTGACATAATCCATTCTTTAAGAAAATACAGCATAAAATGCATTCAAAAACAACCAAAGTCTGATCATATAAGCCATAATCCCTCCAAGCTGGCTGTCCTCAACTGCTCTTTCCCTCTCTGCCCTCTCTTAGACTGGTCTTTTCTGACCCTTCTTAAAATTTGATTCTTGCTCTGTTTTTTCATTTATGAGCCTGTCCTTTACCAGACACCTCACCTGAGAGTTGGTTTAGGTGTCTGGTCTTCCCAATTTGACTCTCAACTTTCCCCAATTAATAGGAGTTGGATTTGCTTCCATTTCAAATTCAAGCTCTAATTCAGCAACACTTACTTCTCTCCTTCCTCTCACCATATCCAAAAGACACAATAATCAGTGGGAAAGACTCAAACACCCAAGTTACAAGGCTGGCATTATTATACATTTTAAACTCAAGGTCATACCTTCTGACTCAATTTTAGTGCTCTTAAAAACAACAACAACAACAATGACAAAAAATATATATATAATATAATAAAAATAAAAACCCTTTCTTTAAAATAAGGAGATAACAGAAAAGACCATCTATTTTTTTTAACCTCTACTCCCTCACTACTCCAGTCTGATAGTCTGATAGAAATGATTCATGAAGAGCTAAAGTGTTAAAAAGACAAAGGGAAGAGCAATAGGAACTCGCACCTACAAAGTTCTTACATACATAATAAAGTCTGATCTTGATATTTATATTCCTAAAAATATTTTGTTGATATCAAGCTTTATTTGTAATTGTGTTTTATAGAATCATATTTTGTTTACATTTAGATATATTATAATTTAGATTTAAACTCCCTAAAAATGATACCCTACCAAATTATATAATGATTAATTTAAACTGTCTAAAAATGACACCCTACCAATGCCCTCATACTAAGTCACAACAAATTTAGATTTGTGGAGACTTTGAAGCAAAAGAAGAGTAACGAAGTCATCTAACTACAGACAGAAACATTTTAAGCCTCCCATTGCTACAAGTTAAAATTCATAAATCAAAAGAAAATGTATTTTAAACAGATATATTTATAATCAAGAATACTGTTGCTTTAGTAATGTCTTAAACAAAAATGAAAATTTCTTAATAATGGAAATAAAAAACATGTGAACTCTACTATTCCTCAACAATTAATTAGGTGCTTGAATTTGTTTCTTAAGTGTCTGTGACCTGTCTTGTAAAATGAGAATTGTTAGTTGATCCCACACTAAACAAACATTTCCTAATTTAAAAATGGGAGTTGATCCGAATGAAAAATTTATGTAATTTTATATGATTTATAAGTTAAAATTCAGCTAGGCAACGTTAAAAAAAATCTGTTTGGAACAAAATGTTCCAATGAGAATCTCAGAATTCAGACCACCTCAGTGCTTTTTAGACTTAGGTTCAAAACTAGACACACATTAGCATATTTATAATTCTTGATTGCTGGTTCCTCTATCTGAGCCTAAGGAATCAGGAAAAATATTGAATAGTCAAGAAATTATACACTTTCAAATATTAAATATTTTGAATCCCTTGGCTGTGTTTTTCTATAAAGAAATCACATTTGGTTTGTTTGTTTATTTGTTTGTTTGAGACAGGGTCTCCCTCTGTCACCCAGGCTGGAGTACAGGAGTACAGTGGCACAGTCATAGCTCACTGAAGCCTCCAACTTTTGGGCTCGAGGATCCTCCTACCTCAGCCTCCTGAGCAGCTGGAACTACAGGCACACACCACCATGCCTGGCTAAAGTTTAGTTTAGTTTATTTTCGTAGAAACAGGGTCTTACTATGTTGCCCAAGCTGGGCTCCAACTCCTAGGCTCAAGCAATCCTCCTGCCCTGGCCTCCCAAAGTGCTAGGGTTACAGGCATGGGCTAAAGCCCAAAAAGTAACTTATAAATGATTTCCTGCTTTCCTACTATTTTTAAAATTATATATATATATACTTATATATATATAATTTTACATATATTGTGTTTTTAGAATCATATTTTGTTTACATTTAGATATATATATATCAAGGTTTAAAAAACATTACCTTTAACTGGTAGAGTGTATATGTTCTTTAAGGTATTCATGGTTTTAGTCTTGCTCTAGAAATTACGATAAAACTTGATTTTAAAGGTATTTCCCAAAATCTGCCTTCTTAACTTGCTGCTCACATTCTAAGAATAAGTCAGTTCTTCTTAGAAGTATTATTTATTGCTTTTTTTGGTCAGTATCTCAATCTTCATATCTGTTCTGGTTTTTTAGCAAGTTGGTATCCCAGCACTCACTATTCTTTCTAAAATCTTCTGATATTTAAAAATCCTTCCTCATTATAGTTTTTTACCTACATGAACTATAGACTTGCTGATTTAAGACAATATATTTCTGCCTTGTAATCTGTAAGAAGGCAATTATTTGTTTTATAAATAAAGAAGGGAGGAGTTAACTACAATAATAAATAGTAGATGGAAGCTACTAACAGTTGGAATGCTATTAGAAGATCATTACAATAGCCATTCTAACACATGTGAAGTGATATCTCACTGTGATTTTGATGTGCATTTTTCTGATGACTAGTGATGTTGAGCATCTCATCACATATCTGTTGGCCATTTGTATGTCTTCTTTGGACTAATATCTATTCAACCCCAGAGCATATTTTTAAAAGTTGGTTATTAATTGTTGCTTTTTCTATGCATTGAGTTGTATGAGTTCCTTATATATTCTGAAAATTAACCTGTTATCTGATATTAACCTCTTATCTGATATATGGTTTACAAATATTTTCTTCTATTCTGTAGGTTACCTTTTCATGCTATTGATTGTTTCCTTTGCTGGACAAAAGCTTTTTAGTTTCATGTATTTCCACTTGTCTGTTTTTCGTTTTGTTGCCCATGCTTTTGGCATTACATCCATGAAATCATTGCCAATAGTAACATCATAAAGTTTTTTCCCTATATTTTCTTCTGATAGTTTTACAGTTTCAGGACTTATGTTTAAGCACTTAAACCATTTTGAGCAAGGGTCCACTTTCATTCTTTTGCATGTGGATGTGCAATTTTCCCAGCACCAATTATTGAGAATATGATACTTTCCCCATTGTTTATTCTTGGTGCCCTTCTTAAAGATTAGTTGATTATATAAATGTGGGTTTACTTCTAGGCTCTCTATTCTGTTCCATTTGTCCATATGTCTGTCTTTATGCCAGTACTATATCGTTTAAATTACTATAGCCTTGTAATGTATTTTGAAAATCAGGAAATGTGATGCCTCCAGTTTTGCTCTTCCTTCTTAAAATTGTTTTGGCTATTTGGTGTTTTTTGTGATTCCATATGAATCTTAGAACTATTTCTTCTCTTTCTGTAAAAGATGTGATTGGGTTTTTTGGTAGGGATTGCATTGAGTCTCTACATTGCTTTGAGTAATATAGACATTTTAACAATATTAAGTTCCAACACAAACATGGAATATCTTCTCATTTGTTTATATTCTTTAATTTTTTGTCAGTGGTTTATAGAGTTCAGTATATTAGTCTTTCATCTCCTTAGTTAAGTCTATTCCTAAGTATTTTATTATTTTTGATGCTATTGTAAACAGGATTGTTTGCCTAATTTCCTTTCAAATAGCTCATTGTTAGTATATAGAAACACAGCTAATTTTTGTATGTTGATTTTGTATCCTGCTGTATTACTGAGTCATTTATTAATTATAATAGTTCTTTGGTAGAGTCTTTAGGGTTTTCTATATATAAGATCATGCCATCTGCAAGCATGGATAACTTTAACTTTTTCTTTCTCACCTACATGCCTTTTTTTCCTGCCTAATTACTCAGGCCAGGATTTCTCTACTATGCTGAATAAAAGTAGCGAGAGTGGGCATCCTTGCCTTGTTCCTGGTCTTAAAGAAAACACTTTTAAAAGCTCTTCACTATTGAGTGTAATGTTAGCTATGATAATCTCATGTATGGCTTTTCATGTTAAGGTAATTTCCCTCTATTTCTAGTCTGTTGAGAGTTTTTAACATGAAAGGATGTTGAATTTTAACAAATGCTTTTTTGCATCTATTAAGATCATGTGGTTCTTATCTTTTATTCTGTCAGTGTGGTGTATTACCTTAATTGATTTTTATATGTTGAACCATACTTGCCTTCCAGGGATAAATTGCAGCTGGTCATGGGTGTCTGATCCTCTTAGTAAGTTGTTGAACTTGGTTTGTCAGTATTTTCTTGAGGATTTTTGCATCTATGGTCATCAAGGATATTGGCCTGTAGTTTTCTTTTCTTCTGATATTTTTGTCTGGCTTTGGTATCAGGCAACACTGGCCTCATAAAATCAGATTGAAAGTGTTCCATCTTCCTCAATTCTTTAGAGGAGATTGAGAAGAATTGGCATTAATTCGTTTTTGGATGTTTGTTCAAATTCACTATTGAAGCCATTTGGTTCTAGGCTTTTCTTTGGTAGGAAGTTTTTGATTACTATTTCAATCCCTCCACTGGGTATAGGTCTGTTCAGATTTTCTGTTTCTTCATGACTCAACCTTGGTAGGTTGTATGTTTCTGAGAATTTATCTATCTCTTCCAGGTAATCCAATTTATTGGTGTATAGTTGCTCATAGTAGTTTTTTACAATCTTTTTATTAATAGTTTGGTTCCATCAGTTGTAATGTCTCCTGTTTTATTTCTAATTTTATTTATTTGGGCCTTCCCTCTTTTTTTTTAATCTACTAGTGGTTTGTCTATTTTGTTTATACTTTCAAAAAATAAACTCTTACTTTTGTCCATTTTTGTCACATTTTTATTCTATTTCATTTAGTTTTGTTCTAATCTTTATTATTTCCTTCTTTCTGCTAACTTTGGCCTTAGTTTGTTCTTCTTTTTCAGCTTCTTGAGACGTAAAGTTAGGTTGATTATTTGAGAGTTTCCTGCTTTTTAAATATAGGCATTGACTGCTATAAACTTCTCTCTTAGTACCTCTTTTGCTGCATCCCCTAAGTTCAGGTATGTTGGGGTTTTTTTGTTTGGGTTTTTTTGTTTGTTTGTTTGTTTTCATTTGTCTTAAGAGACTTTCTAATTTTCCTTTTGATTTCTTCCTTGACCCATTAGTTGTTCAAGGTGTGTTTAGTTGTCACATTTTGCAAATTTTCCAGTTTTTCTTCAGCTACTGATTTCTAGTTTTATTCTATTGTGATTGGAAAAGAGGAGAAGGTATATTCTGCTGCTCTTTGGTGAAATGTTTTGTATAGATCTGTTAGATTAATTTGTTCTATACTGTTGTTCAGATCCTGTTTCCTTATTGATTTTTTTCAAATGTTATATTATTAAAAGTGAGATATTGAAGTCTCTCACAATTATCATATTATTTATTTCTTTTATCAGTTATGTTACATTTTGCATTGTATATTTAAGTGCTCTGATGTTGGATGTGTATACATTCATAGTTGTTATATCTTTTTGGTGAGTTGATCATTTTATCTTTGTATAATATCCTTCTTTGTCTCATGACAGTTTTTGACTTAAAGTCTATTTTGTCCAATATAAGTATAGCCAGTCTTTCTTTTGGTTAAAATTTGCAGCATGATTTTTTCCATCCCTACACTTTTGGCCTATATGTGTCCTTAAATCTAAACTTAATAAGTTTATTAAGTTTATTAATAATAATAAGTTATGTAAACTTAATAAGTTGTCAAACTTAAGAAGTTTACATAAATTGATCCAATATAAGTTGGATCTTGTTTTTTTTCATCCATTCAGCTACATTATGTCTTTTGATTGAGGAGTTTAATCCCTTTATATTTAGAGTAATTAATGTACTTCCTTTTGATGGGCGAGTACTTACTATAGCCATGTTTTTTTACTACCTTGTAGTTGTTTTGTTCATCTTTTTTTCCTTGCTGTATTCTTCTGTATTTTGTTTTGTATTTATTGCTATACTTTGATTTCCTTCTCTTTTTTTATGGCTCTTCTGTATGTACTTTCTTTGTGGTTACCAAGAAGCTTGTATAAAACAACTCATAGTCATAACAGTTTATTCTAAGCTTTAAACAACTTAACTTCAGTTGCATACAAAAGCTACACTTTTACTTCTCCCCCCACAAACCCCCCACACACGTTATGTTCTTGATGTCATGATTTATATCTTTTTATATTGTGTATCAATTAACACATTTTATGGTTATAATTATTTCAGTACTTTTGACTTTTTTATATTATGATTAAAAGTTTACCCACTACCATTACAGTATTATAGTATTTGTCTTTATATTTACCCTTACCAGCAAGTTTTATACTTTCATATATTTTATTATTGCTGTTTAGCTTCCTTTTGTTTCAACTTGAAGAACTTCCTTTAGCATTTCTTGTTAGGCAGGTCTGGTAATGATGAACTCCCTCAGATTTTATTTGTGAAGGAAAGTCTTTATCTCTCCTTTATTTTTGAGATCATTTTTATCAGGTATAGTATTCTTAGCAGGGGTCTTTTCTTTCAGCACTTTGAATTTATTCTCATCTACCTTCTCTGGCATGCAATGTTTCTGCTGATAAATCTGTTGATAACCCCACGGAGATTTCCTTGTATGGAATGAGTCACTTTTCTCTTGCTGCTTTCAAATTCTCTCTTTGTCTTCAAATTTTGTCAGTTCAATTATGTGTCTCACTGTGAATTTCTTTGGGTTTACTCTATTTGAATTTGTGGAACATCCTTGATCTGGGTGTTCATTTCCTTCCCTAGATTTGGGAAGTTTTCATTCATTATTTCTTTGAATAAGCTTTCTGTCTCTTTATCTCTATTTCTCCTTCTTCTTACACTCCCATAATGTGTATATTAGTCCACTCAATGGCATCCTATAAGTCCCTTAAGCTTTCTTCATTCTTTTTTCTCTTTGCTTTTCTAACTAGATAATTTCCAGTGACCTGTCTTGAATTTCACTAATCCTGTCTTCTGTTTGATCTAGTCTGCTGTTGAACTTCTCTAGTTAATTTTTCATTTCAGTTATTTACTCTTCATCTCTATGATCTGTTTCACATTTTCTTATATTTTCTATCTCTTTGTTGAAATTCTCCTTTTGTTTATATGCTTTGTTCTCCTGAACTCACTGAGCACCTTTACAAGCATCTATTTGAATTTTCTATCAGGTAAATCATATCTCTGTTTCATTAGGGTTGGTTTCTGGAAGATTATCGTGTTGCTTTGTTTGGAACATATTTTCCTGTTTCTTTATTCTCGACTCTTTGTGTTTATGTCCGCACTCCCAGTCTTCATGGATTGACCTTGTACAGGAGAGGATCCTCACCAGTCAGACCAGCCAGAGATTCCAGGGGCCCCTCAAATCCTCATGCTAGATAAAACTGTGACCTTTGTTCTCACTGATCATCAGGCATCTAGAACATGCTAGGTCTTATCAGAGTTCTGAGACAGATAAGACAGATGTCAATGCCTCTGGCAGCCCTCAGCACAATCAGAGTTTTGGAAGTATGGTCCAATTCTTTTCTTCCCTCACAAGAGAAAATCTGGAGCTAAGGATTTTTCCTACCCAAACACTTTGCATTGAGCAAGGGAGTGGGGCTGTGGCATGTGTTAACTTACTATTTCAAACCACAGTTTCTGGTCTCATTAGCTCCCAGGTAGCTATAATATGCCAGATTTCATTAATCCTCTAAGGCAGGCAAGACAGGATTCAGTGCTTTGGGAACCCTCCAAAAATATTAGAGCATTGGATTCATTGTCCTATTCTTTCTTACCCTTCCCATAGAGACACTGGGAGCTCTTTTGTTTGTTTCTGCTTGTTTCCCTTGTGCTGAGCTGGGCTGCTTCATGTGTTAGCTTGCCATTTCAAACCACAGTCATTATTCTCAGTAGCCCCAGGTGGCTGTAGTGTTCCTGGTTCCATCAGCTCTCCAAGGCAAGTGAGACAGAAGCCAGTATCTCAGGTGGCCTCCAAAAAAAATTCAAATGCTGAATGTATGGTCTTGTCCTTTCTTCCCTCCTCAGAGAAAAGCTGGGAGCTAGGATCTCCCCCAGTTGTATGGCACCATGACCATGCCAGGGGTAGGGCCCTTGGCAAGAGGGTGTCCTTGTCTCTCTTGCTGGTTTTCATGTAGTTGGTTTTACACTTGCTCCAGGATGCAGGAGACTTGTAACTAGTTTCTGGATTTCTCACAAAGTAAATTAGTTTGTATTTTATTATAGAATCATTGTTTCCATTGAGGAAAGATGGATCCAGGGCTTCTATTCTACCATCTTGCTGACATTACTGATTGAATTTTCAAATCTTTATATCTCCAAGAGCCTAGTATAGTGCCTAGTGTGAAATTAATACTCCATAAGAATGAACGAATGAATGAATGGATGAATGCCCTGGGGTTCAACCACTTTCTCCCATATTTTCCTACAAGTGATTTACCTTTTTATGGAGCTTTGAGGAAATCCATTTGCTCTTCCTCCTCACCTGGATTAACTCCCACTCCCATTCCTGAGGAAGTGCTTTTATGCAAGATGAAGTGGTTCTTTGTGTGTGTGTGTGTGTGTGTGTGTGTGTGTGTTTTTCATATGTGTGAAATGTTACCATAACCCTGGTTCTTCTGACAGTAGTCAATTTATCAGAAAGAATTCTCCTTTCTAGTGTCTGTGGTATGAATGATAAAGTTCAGTGTTAGGATGGTCAACCTCCAGCACATACAGATAGACTGGGGTCAAGTTAAGGGCAATAGAGTCAGGTGGAATAGAGTTAGGGAACGCTGAGTAATGGATTATAGCCTGCCTGCCTCTGTTCCTGCCTGTCAGCTCCACAGGCATTGCTGGGAAGGAGGCAAGGACTATGCTTTCTGAATGCTGTTTCTAAGGTACCAGAAAATTACTCCTAAATTAGCCCTCAGGTAAAAGCACAATTGGAGGCTCAAGTATATAGAAACTAAGAAAAATACAGAAATAGTAGCTAAGAGAACAGTGGAAAGCTGGGGAGAAAGAGAGACAGAGACAGAGGAAAAAAGATGTAGAGAAATTGAATTCTCCTAACACACTTAGGAAAAGCAAAAGGAAAATTGGATTCCAAATTGGCACTTTTCCCACAAACTACAGTCCATAAGGGTGTGTGTGTGTGTGTATATATATGTGTATATATATATGAATACTGCTGTTTACTCATCAATTTACAGTGTATTTTTCACAACTAATTTATAGATGAAAAAACAGTAAATGTAAAAGCACTATAAATGTAAGGTAACATAGATCAGTGGATTTTTCTAAATAACTCATTAACTAAAGCATACTTTTCCAAAATAACCTGAAAAACAAGTGTTTTTAAAAGTATTTTATTAGAATCTATATAGTTCACATATCAATATGCTTTCCTGCAATTCAAAATAGGCAAAAATGATTATTTCTTTATTTTAAATATCTCTGCACATTGAGGCAAGTTATAAAAATCAATGTCCCCACACATTAAAAAAATAAGCTATGCTTAGACTTGTTTTTCTTGCTGTTTGTCTTATTATTTTTTCAGTTTTTTTAAGGTCATGCCATAGAGGTTCACAAGACGTGTATTGTTTAATAATAGAAACAGCATAGGTAGAGTAAAAATGTTTCCAGTTTTGATTTGTTTTGTTTTTCCTGAGGGTAGATTTTTTAGCACTCTGGAGAGTGCCCGGAGCTTGCTTGATATAATGATAATAATGTACTCTCTAATAAGAAACCCTGGTTCTTTAGATGTGATCTCATTTATTTTTCACCATTCCCATGAGATGGAAGAAGGCACAGATTTTTGAAGCTTAATTAAGACAACCAGAGATAGTAGATGATTGAACTGGGGAAATAATTTAGGCTCACTGACTCATACTCTACCAAAATTGAAGGAGACATGGGATCTGACCTATACTTGGCTCCAGACAGGTTTGAGCTTATGTCAGGCTCACTGCATTTCAACCTCAGACACCGTGAGAAGAATATGAGTATGCTTCTGACATGGCCTATATTATTCACTCAACAAACATTCATTGAGCCCAAGGCTGGGTCTGAAACATTCAGTGCCAAATAAGACCAAGCCCTTGTTCTCAAGTAACTCAGAGATCAGAAGGAACAGGAGGGCACAGATAATGACAGTACCTCAAGAAAATTGAGTTCTACAGTTTGTGCAAAAGTGTTACAGGCACGGGTAATTTTGCCAAAAAGAGAAGTGAAGTCATTACAGCTTTCACTGTGAGCCTTGAAAGGAATAATAGTTCACCCTGCAGAAAAGGTGGGAGGAAGAGAGTGTGCTCAACACCCATAAGCATAAAATGTCCAGGAACTTTTCGCATTTCTTTTCAGTATAAAATGTATATTCAAAAATTGTCATGATAGGTATTGTTTTATATATATTCAGTTAATGGTTTTAAATGTTAACATATGTTGTAGCATAATCCTGAGATTCTCTCGGCTATTTCCCTTAATAGGGAAAAAAAAAGGAGAAAAATATACTTTAGCTCCTTCTTCCAAAAAAGAAAAGCTGAATTTATCCCAGTTGAATAGGAGGGAAATACATACATTATTATAAAATTTTTAAAATATTGGCTCTTCTATTCAGATATATTTAACCTTATTATTGGGAATTGTTTTATAAGAAAAAATTATAACATTATTTTTTAGCTATCCAAATCTTAACATCAGCTATATGAGAATTCAATCGCAGTGGTTTTGCTTCCTTTTTTGTCCTTAATCTTTTGTTTTCTTCAGCATGTCTTTTACAGGAGTAGCTTGTCCATAGAACACAGTCTCCCTAAGGCAGGTTCTAGGTGAAATCAAAGAGTAGAAGGTGATATCTCCTGAGGGGATGACACATGTTGCTTGAAGGAATTGGTTTGCACTACAAAGGGCTTCCTGTGCAGTAAGGAGATGAATACAAGCTCAACCTTGAAACTCTGATCTTCTGTTTTTAAATGTCTGTACCAACAGCCTTTTCTTATGACAACAGAGTCACACTATGAGACAGTGCCACCCAGGTTTCTCAACAGAGTATGCCCTTGACATCAGGTATGAATCTCTGGTGGGAATTCGTCAGGCTGAGCCTGTACTGTTGCAAACAAAGGTAGACAGACATTCTTGCGTCTTTAGAAATGATGTGTAGCTCTTTGCAATTGTGTAAGTTATAATTGCAGGTCTTTGGAGTCAGAACCAGGTACTTCAAAACTGGTATTGTCTAGTCCTGATTCACAACTATTGTTAGACCTCTTTTTGACTCTCAATTCCCTTAACTAAAAAGGAGGATGAAAACACTCACTTCACCAGATATTAAGGTAAAACAAGATAAAAGTATGAAATATCCTTCAAATATTAGATATTTTTATTCATTAAATATGTATTTAATAATGTATTCATTCAACTAATATTTGTCACAAGCCATTAGTCATTCCCCTTACCTGTACCTGAAGAGTCAGAGAGTTATAGAAATTTGTGTCATGCCTGTAATCCCAGCACTTTGGGAGGCCAAGGCAGGCAGATCACGAGGTCAGAAGATCGAGACCATCCTGGCTAACAGGGTGAAACCCCCGTCTCTACTAAAAATACAAAAAATAGCTGGGCGTGGTGGCAGGCACCTGTAGTCCCAGCTACTAGGGAGGCTGAGGCAGGCGAATGGTGTGAACCCGGAAGGTGGAGCTTGCAATGAGCCAAGATGGCGCCACTGCACTCCAGCCTGGGCGACAGAGCAAGACTCCTTATAAAAAAAAAAAAAAAAGAAAGAAAGAAAGAAAGAAATTTGTGAAAGTTATTGCATTGGAGATCTTTGGATGTGTGACTGTCCCTTATACAGCTCCTAAGAGTGAAGTTCATGTGTAGATGTGATTGTATAATAAAAACGAACAAACCAAAAAGAGTTTCCTTAAAATCACACAGCTGGTAAAAAGCCTAATCAACATCCTACCCAGAGTGTCAGACTCCAGTATTCACTTTCAACTCTTTTTGCCCTGCTCACTCCCCAGAAGACAAGGCAGTAATTCACAAAGAGGACAATGATTGGTTTATTGGAATTTTACAAAACATTTGTACCCAAGGGTGTTGTTCCTGTAGTAAGAGTGCCTCTTCTGATTTTCAAGCTTCTTATTGTTCACAACCGGTACAAAAAATATGAAAGCCCGCTCTAAATTTTCCATCTCCAAAGAATTCGCAGGGATTGGGGATGAAAGCCAGGTGAAATAATCTCCAATTCCATCATCCTGCCCTACAGCAGACATAGCACAAATTTCTTTTTAGCAAATTAGCTGAAAATCTAGTCATCTCTAGCTAAAAATATCTAAACACCAAGCACAAACAGATCCAAGTTCAACACATAAGCTCAGCTATGCACTCACACTTTTATCCTTTAGGAAACACACTCATATCCTTTGAGAAATAGTATTTCTGAAGCACAGACACACATACTATCACACGCAAAAGATATTCATCAAAGGCTTTATTTATATATCCATTTGGAGAAAGTCCATAGGAGAATTTGCCAGGAATGAAGATGAAGAGGAGGCAGCAATGATTCGTATTTTGCCCTCTTCTGCCCAAGAGAAATATTGATAACTATTCTATAGTTGTGCCATAGCCAAAAACAGTGGTCATCCTGATGTTAGAATTCCAATGACAAGCCCTAAATTAGCTCTAACCTGGCACAGAGTAATTCTACAAAAGGGCACAAAAACCCCAGAACTTTGGATGGCTTCCTTGTTGCTGGGTAGATTTTGGACTCTAGCTCTGGCTCTGGGACTGATTAATTGTGTAACAGTGAGCAGGCTCTTTGCCTGTGTTTTCTCATCTGAAAAATGAGGCATTTGAGAAAAACAGGAAGATTGGAGCTAAATAGCCTCAGGTCTTTTTCAGCCCTAAAAATGCTATAGTTTGTAATTCTTTCATACATTGCACAGCCCCAAGTTCCACTTTGAAAAGCTTCTGTCTCCAGAGTATTAGAGTTTTCCCCATCCCAGTCATATCAACACAACTTTTAGGCTTCCATGGTTACTATATAATTGTCTCAGTTGGTATTTCTCACTGATGTTGTTTAGAACAGCTGTAGAGGTATGTACCTTGATTATTGGTGCAGTTACTGATGAGGCAAATAACCTTGGTCTTGAATAATTCTTTTTATGCTTGAGGTGTTCCTAATTGCTATATGTAATTAAAGAGCCTGAACATATAGAAGCTATGAGAAAGTGAGTTTAGTTTACTGAAAATAAGATCTCACCCGAGGCTTTATGTAAACGCCTGGGGCTTTTTAATCTTCACAGTTTTCTAAATGTCCTTTAAGTTTCAGCACTCTGAGTGCAAAGTACATTGTCTCAATGCAGTATCTTGTATGTAAATTTCTCTCATCTTGTCTTAGTTGGCTCAGGCTGTTATAACAAAATACCATAAATAAGCTTATAAATAGCTTATTTCCTCCGAATAGCTTAAAAACAACAAAAACTTATTTCTCACAGTTCTGGAGGCTGGAAAGTCCAAGATCAAGGCACTGGCAAAGTCGGTGTCTGGTAAAGGTCTGCTTTTTAGTTCAGAGACAACCGTCTTCTCACTGTGTCGTCGCATGGTAGAGAAAGGGCAAACAAGCTCCCTTGGGCTGTTTTACAAGGGCACTAATCCTACTCATGAGGGCTCTACCCTCATGACCTAATCATCTCTTAAAATGTCCCCCAATACCATAATTTGGGGGATTAAAGATCAACATACAAATTTTGGGGGGACACAAACATCCAGACCATAGCATCTCCTCAAATATCAAGGAATGACTATAGTACCTCTGTTTTCCAAGCATATGCCCATGAACTCTAAACACTGAAAAATTTGCCACACAAAGTATAAATCAGAACTTTGTCATGGAAGTGTCCATAAATGACTTGAAAAGAGTCTGCAAGTGTCCACATATGACTGTATCAAGTCAACAGGCATTTTTTTTAACTACTTCGATATGGCAAGCAGTGTGCCCCATATTCACTGTGAAGGACTCGCACAAAGTAAGAAATAGAAATACTGCTTCCTTCCTAGGAAATAAATCTATAGAATCAGGTGCCCCCAATCTCAGCCAAACCTAACTTGAATCATTTCCTTTAATGGAACTGCCCATGATTTCAAAGAAGCAGAGATGATATGTTAAGTCTGAGATGGCATAAATTTGGCCTGCTCAGTGGAATGTCTCGCCCCCATTCCTGTTTCCCCAGCTTCTGCCTGCCCCAGTTCTCCCACAGCTGGGTCAACTCATTTAATCTTCTACAGATCCAGCCTCACTATTTATTTTCAGAGCAATTTGAGTTTTAGCAGGATATAAATAAGTAGCCTCAAGCCCAATGCCTCCATTTATCTAGGCTTATTATAGCACCCCTTTTCCTGCAGGCTGGCCCCAGCAATGGACACAGGCACTATGTCCTAGGCTGCCCTCACTTCATTCTCAACGAGAGCCATTCTGTATTGTTTCCAGATCCCACCACCCTCATCCCAACCCTAATCCTGCCCCACTAATTTCAGTCCGCATTGAAAACAGACCAAGTCATCAAAAATCAGTTCCCTGAAGGAGCAATTTTTTGAATGACTAATTCACTGAATGTAATAAATTTTCTAGTGTGCCAACAATTTTGTTGAAACATTTATTTTGAGTATATTAAATTAATTTGAGTATATTAAATTAAAACAATATTGAAGACACACTTTGTTTAGATATGATTAAGAATGTATTCTTCTTGAGTATATGAAATATGAATATTCTCATGAACCTATTCTTCAGGAACATACTCATACTCATAAGAAAACTAAATGACTCGTGATTTTCAGCATTTATAAATTTGAGCATTATTTAAAATACAGCTGAGTAAAATATATTAATTGAAGATATTCAAAAGGACTATTTTTCAATATGATATTTTGATAATTGAAAAATTTGATCAAGTGGTCATTTGACATTTGACCCTTTAGTGAATTAGCTTTCTGCAAATTGACTTGTCAATGGGATCTCGAGCCATCTGAGTGCTGTGTTCATACTTCTATACTTACCAGCAGCCTTCCTGGATTTCTGAGTGTTTCCCCACACCATCCACCTTGGTTGAGCTCTGCTACATCTGACCCCTGGTGTTGACTGGAGAATGCCATTCCCTGAAGTAGCTGGGTCTTACTTATGTGACTGAAACACCATTGCTAGATGCCTTGCCCTACCCAAATGGTGCCACATAGCTCTAAGACCCAACTCCTCTTCCAATCTCCTGCTCAGCATCACTGGTGAATCTTGAGCTATGACAGAACCAACAGCCTGTGCTCTTCTACTTTCAAAACCCAGATTTTAAATGTCTTCTAGTCTCTCATAATCATGCAAAGGGGATAAGAAAACTTGAAAACTCTCAGAGATATGTATTAAGATTGACTCACTATGTAGAAAAAAATCTTCTCTGGCTTTTAACCAACTATCTCTATTAGAAAAAACCTTATCATTTAGGGTATGATAGAAGTAGCTGGGCAAGAAAGTGGATCATTTTTAGCATCTATTTGACGCATCTGGGTTAAGAATAATATTTTCCCTTACTTCCTTATAAAGACAAATATGTATTCCTAAACAATTTATGCTAGGAAGTAATAACATATTTTTTTTAATAGTGCACATCACCAAATTCAATTTTGGATATTATGACTTATCAACAAGGCTTTCCTGGTCTTTCATAAACAGACTTCAAATAATTACCTTTATTTCTTCAAATAGACCTACATAAGTTGTTAGAGTAGTTCCACCAAACATCCTAAAGTCTTTTTTACCTTGCAGATCCTCATCCTCACCACAGATATAATGACTTTATATTAAATATCTTAAACCAATTAGAGATTTCTGGTATGGTATGAAACATTTCAAAATAATTATCAGTTATAAAAAAACTAAATCCTAAAAACTTGACGACTAACAGAGCTGTATTAATTTGTAAATACAGCCATTAAAATAGTAAAACCTTATTTTTCTTGGCACTCAAGAAAAATGCTAGTTTAAAAAGCTTGATTTCTCAGATAAAAATATTGTAGCAATTGTTGAACTGCCACATGTATAAGGTATAGTTATCAGAAAAGCAAGTATATGAGGAGCAACGAGAACACATCAGTTCTTTGGGTTATTTTCTGTTAGATTGTGACAATGTGAATGGAACGGATGAGATCATGTGAATAGCAACAGGTGCTGGGGTCCAGTGAATACACCATGATGGTCTACAGTGACCTTCTCCAAGGGTATCCATGTTTTATTCAGTATAAGTATTTTAACCTGGAAAAAAATATTTCAATTGCATCCATCATGATGGCATGCTTAACTGCCTTTTGGAGGCTTTATTTATAATAATGGTTTTCTAAAACTGACTACACGTTAGAATTATCTAATGATGTCCTGTTTCATATAGACTAATTAAGTTAAAAAATTCTGAGTGTGGAGACCTGATCTTTGTATTTTTTAAATTTTCTCCAAGAGATTCTGATGAGAACCTAGGTTGGAAAACACTGGTTTTGAGCATAATATCTGCTGGATTCAAAAAATAAAATAGCTATAGGAATTTTCTTTCAGCTCTTTCTGCTAATGGAGCCTGGTCATTGGCTTTAATGTTCCTCCTTTTAAAACCCCATATCTGACATTGGCTTAGCTCAAAAGATACTGAGCTTGAATTTGCTTGGGATTTATTTGGACACCTGGTCTAATAGCAAGTGGTTAAGCTAGTAGGTTTTCATTTAAAAAAAACTCTATATGAATAATTTAATTCTTAAATGCTTTTATAGAGTTGGATATTGGCAGTTTGAATTTAATTGATTTCAAGGACAAAATTTGACCTTGAAATAATTTATAGGGCTGGGTACAGTGACTCTTGCCTCTAATCCCAACACTTTGGGAGGCTGAGGCAGAAAGATCCACATAAATAATTTAGTGCAATCATATAAATGTAGGAATAGTGTAGAGGCAGTTCCGTTGCAAAATATGGTTTGTGCCTTTCTCGTTAACTTTATTTTGTTGTCTTCCTTATTTCTGTTAAATGACTGGGACAACAGTGGGGATTAGGAGAGATGGACATCAATTCAAATAGTAGAGAAACCTTTACACCAAACAATAATTTTTTGATTTTGAGGGTTTCTGCTGTGCGATACAATGCATGCAGTTAACTTTCTGGAAGCACAGTGAAAGCATAAAAGCTAGTTCCAGTCCACTGCACACCATTGATACTTGCCAGTTTAGCCAATGGAAAATTCTCTCTCTCTCTCTCTCTCTCTCTCTCTCTCTCTCTCTCTCTCTGTCTCTCTCACACACACACACACAAATTTTGTCAGAGGTGTTAATGAATAAGAGCTAGCAAATGTAAACTGTGTACCAAAACAAAATATATATATATTCACTTACCATATGAGCCTAATTATTTGATTCTCTAGACAATAGAAGATCATTCTGGGTTTTGTTGGGGGAGTTGTTTATTTTTATTTGTTTGCTTGCTTGTTTCTACCAAAAGATGAACAGAAAACACACATACACATATATATCCCCAAATTTATCCTGTGTTTAAATCTTATATTTTAAGAAAAAATACACAGAACTTACACTATCTGACTTCAAAACTCGCTATAAAGACACAGTAATTATGACAGTTCATGACTGGCATAAAGATAGACATATAGATATTATAAATGAAACAGAATTAAAGTTCTTACATTTATGGGCAATTGGTTTTTCACAAAGATGCCAAACAATTGAATAGGCAAAGTTTAGACTTTTCAACAAATGGTGCTGGGACACTTGGATATCAATATTCAAAAAATGAAAACAAAAACTTAGGCCCTTTCCTCATACTATACACAAAAATTAACTCAAAATGGGTCAAAGATTTAACTGCAAGAACTAACAAAACTTATAGAAGAAAATTTAGGAAAAAATTACTGTGACCCTGCATTAGGAAAAGAGTTCTTAGATATGACACCAAAAGCACAATCCATAAAATAATAAATTGGTAAAGTTTAACATCAAAGTAAATAAATAAGAGTTTAACATCAAAGTAAATAAATAAATAAGTACATTTAATTTATAAAAGAAAGTAAACAAATAACTTTGTGCTCCAAAAGACATCATTAAGAAAATGAATAGATAAGCCATAAACTGGAAAAAAAAAAAACCTTTGCAAGTGATATATCTGATAAAGGACTTTTTTTTTTTTTTTTTTTTTTGAGACGGAGTCTCGCTCTGTCGCCCAGGTCGGACTGCGGACTGCAGTGGCGCAATCTCGGCTCACTGCAAGCTCCGCTTCCCGGGTTCACGCCATTCTCCTGCCTCAGCCTCCCGAGTAGCTGGGACTACAGGCGCCCGCCACCGCGCCCGGCTAATTTTTTGTATTTTTAGTAGAGACGGGGTTTCACCTTGTTAGCCAGGATGGTCTTGATCTCCTGACCTCATGATCCACCCGCCTCGGCCTCCCAAAGTGCTGGGATTACAGGCGTGAGCCACCGCGCCCGGCCGATAAAGGACTTTTATATCCAGAATATATAAAGAACTCTTACAAACCAGACAACCTAATTTAGCCAGTTTTTAAAATGGAGAAAAGATTTAAACAGATATTTGATCAAAGATATAAGTGGCTAATAATCACATAAAAAGATCCTCAAAATCATTAGACAAACAGAAATTAAAACCACAATGAGATACCACTACACACCCACAAAAATGGCTACAATCAAAAAGGTACAGCAATAAGTGTTGGTGAGGTTAAAAAATGAAACGTGCATTGCTGGTGGGAATGTAAAATTCTAAATTTCTGTACAGACTATTGCACAACCTGTTTGGAAAACAAAGTTGTACAAATTAATTGGAAAATAGTTGAGCTGTTTCCTTAAAAATTAAACATAAACTTATAACACAAGCCAGGAATTCCACTCCTAGCATTCTACCAAAAAAAATTAAAAACATGTGTCCCTACAAAGGCAGCTACATGAATGGTTACAACAGCATTGTTCATAACAGCCAAAGATTGTAAGTAATCCAAATGTTCCTCAAGTAGAGAATGGATTAAAAATGTGTTATATAGTTCCGGTGTGGTGGCTTACACCTGTAATCCCAGCACTTTGGGAGCCCAAGGTGGGCAGATCACTTGAGGCCAGGAGTTCAAAACCAGCCTGGCCAACATGGTGAAACACTGTCTCTACTAAAAATGCGAAATAATAATAATAATAAGCCAGGTGTGGTGGTGCACACATGTAATCCCAGCTACTCCAGTGGCTGAGGCACAAGGATCACTGGAACCCGGGAAGCAGAGGTTGCAGTGAGACAAAATCATGCCACTGCACTCCATTCTGCATGGCAGAGGGGACTCCATCTCAAAAAAAAAAAAAGGGGGGGGGGATATATCAATATAATGAGATCCTGTTAAGCAATATAAAGAAATGAACTCCTGATACATCCTACCACATGAAAAACTTCAAAAACAGTATGCAAAGTAAGAGAAGCCAGACCCAAAAAACTACATATTGTGTGATTTCTTTTATATAAATGTCCATAAAATTTAAATATATATAACCAGAGGCATGTCAGTGATTATCAGGGCTGGGAAGCTGGAGCTAGGAATTAACTAAAAATGGGCATGAAGCAATTTCTGTGGGATATAATGGAACTGTTCTAAAACTGGATTGTGGTGATGGTTTCACAACTCTATAAATTTACTAAATATCATTGAACTGCACTCTTTACAATGAGTTAGTTTAGTGGAATGCAAATTATATTACGAAGAAGTTGTTTGTAAAAATAATTGCAGAGTGGGCCGGGCACAGTGGCTCACACCTGTAATCCCAGTACTTTGGGAGGCAGAGACGAAGGGATCACGTGAGGTCAGGAGTTCAAGACCAGCCTGGCCAGATGGTGAAACACCGTCTCCACTACAAATACAAAAATTAGCTAGGCATGGTGGCGCACGCCTGTAGTCCCAGCCACTCAGGAAGCTGAGGCAGGAGAATCATTTGAACCCACGAGGTGGAGGTTGCAGTGAGCCAAGATCACACCACTGCACTCCAGCCTGGGTGACAGAATGAGACTCAGTAATAATAATAATAATAATAATAATAATAATAATAATAATTACAGAGCAGATCAAGATCTTCTAGCCCAAAGTTCACTGTTCAATATTAGCTTACAAAGACATGCTTTATAAATTTAAGGACAAAACATCCTTTGCCTAAAATCCCTTTTATTTAATATTCTTGTTGAAAGGCCACACTATCAAATATTCACTAAGTCATAACACATTTCTATTCGATTTACTTTAAAATTATGTTCCACTGGCAATTCACGTCTTTTTACTTTATAAATACCTGCTATGATTTTCTACTATCCTCTACCCCATGTATTTTATTGCTTGTTATCCTCTTTTTTTTTTTTTTTTAATTCAGGGCTACCAGTGCTAACACTAATAGCTAATATTTTTGAAGTATACAGTCTTCTAAATACTTTACACATTTGTTTTATTTCATTATTTCACCTTATTTTATTTAATTCTCAAAATAATTCTATGAAGTGGTCATTATTGTTATCTTTTTATTATGTAAAGGCAACTGAGGCACAGAGAAGTTGCTCAAGGGCATCCATCTGTAAAATGGTAAGGCCAAGATATGACTCCTCTACCCAACCTCTTAACCACTGAGCTGCACTGCCTCTCAGGAGCAGTGCAAGAGAGGGAGTGTTTTTGCATTTTATCTTCCATGTTATAATAGACATGTATATTTTTAGATAAAGCTCTCCAAAACAGAAATGCCCAGTGAACACTGCTGCTTTCCTCCCGTTTCTCTAAGACAAAACATGAAATATGTGAACACATTATATGAATTTGTTTTCCATTCCTCCAAAATATTTGTTTGGTGTTGGTAACTGGAAAAAATTATAAATTCACATACTATATGAATACATATACATGTACACACTTACACATTTATTTGACTTCATTGTAGAACTTTGACATTAATCCCAATAACTAATCTCTTTATACATATTGTTTCATCCTGACATCAACCTGAACAGGGAAAATTGACTTATATAAGCACACAGCTACTACAGATGTCTTTTTAGAAACTGATTATTGATATATAGCAGAGAAACTTAAAATCTCTTTAACTAACTTGAAGTCCTGACCATATGACTTCTTTACAAACAATGAGATGAGTACCCTGAGAGATGCTGCTTCCAGCAACTAAAGATTGAATTAAATCATTAACAAATACATGATAAAAACAGGAATACATTGTATACATTTTGTATTAACTAGGGTTTCCTAGAGAAACAATAGATAAATGATAGCTAGCTAGCTAGATAGACTGAGTAATAGATTCATTATAGAATTTGGCTCACATCATTATGGAGGCTGAGAAGTCCCACAAATTTCTATTTAGAAGATGAAGAAGCTGGAAAGCCAGTGGTATAATTCAGTTCAAGTCAGAAGGCCTGAGAACCAGGGGAGCTGATGGTGTGAGTTCCAGTCTAAGGCCAAAGGCCCTGAAAGCAGGAGCATGGATGTTAGAGAGCAGGGAAAGATGGATGTTCCAGCTAAAACAGGGAGCAAATTTGTGTTTTCTATGGCTTTTTGTTCTATTTAGGCCCTCAGTGGATTGGATGATGCCCACCAGCATTGGTGAGAGCAATATTGTTTGCTGGGTCTGCTGACTGAAATGCTCATCTCTTCTAGAAACACCCTCACAGACCACCCACACCCCCCAAAAAATAATGTGTTACCAGCTGTCTGAGGATCCCTTAGTCCAGTCAAGTTGACATATAAAATGATATACTTTCCATAATCAGGGACATGAATATCTGTCTATTTTCAACATAATTCATCTGTTAAAATGTTTGATAAGACTGACTGCAACTAGGGAATATGAGAAAACATAATTTTATTCATGATAAATTTCAGTATTAGGATTCATTCAGCATGTTAAAAGTTTACATTCTGGAACATACAGTCCTCTGGTAAAAATAATGTTTTAGCTTCAATTTGACAAAATAGCCTACAGGTATTTTGGACAGGAATTTATAGGGAGTTAATACCAACAAAAATGCCCTGTGATAGGCTATGATGATGGTACTGAATAGAGTTCAATAGAGGAAATAGAGGAAAAAAACTCTCTTAAAAAGATTACAGTCATTTGAATTAATACAACATGTACAAAATGTAATGTTTTGGCATGGAACTATTGAAGACAAAGTGTCCTCAAATCATTTGTTAAATTTTTGAAGGTAATGTTTCCTATTTAACCCAAATAAAATTGGATATTGACCCAGTGTGCCTCTAGTAGGAAAAGGAGAGTAAAGTGAAAGAAAATGAAAGAAAGGGAAGCAAGTGATATTAAAAAGTGGCTCTTGGGTAAACACTTTAATTAGCATTTCATATTGAATATTTCTTAAGGAGCATATGAAATGTGAATTTTCAGGAACAAACCTCTGCCAAAAGCTGCCATATAACTAATTCTAAATACTTATCTTTGCTCAAACTGTACCACATTATATAGCTTGGAAGGCTAGCCAGAGGAAACAAGGCTAAGTAACTGTAATAGCAGTCTGTTAGAAAGGTTGGATGTGTTATTGGAAATGCCAGTAGGTTTGCTTAGCCCATTTCAAGTGTTTCTCTGAGGACCAAAGGCTGCCTCACTAATGATGGTATCAGAAAAGCATAAGGCAAGCCAGCAGTCAACTGCTTTTCAATCCTCCCTTGGTTCATAAGATTTGCCATGATTTCTTCTAATATATATATATGCCCTTTGGACCCATATTATAACCCAAATAAATTTGGCATGCCAATGTTCCTCTTCTTTGCTTTTTGAAAATCAGAATATTAATTTTTATGCATTTTGACTAACCCTAGTTTGAGTCTAAAACATCCCTCTATTTCTGGATATTGTGAGGGACTAGAGAGCCCTCACCTTCAGCTACCTACCATTTGGGGACCCTTGGGGAATATTAGGACTTTTGGGCTGAGTGTGTTCACTCATGCCTGTAATCGCAGCACTTTAGGAGGCCAAGGTGGGCGGATCACTTGAGTCCAGGAGTTCGATACCAACCTGGCCAACATGGCGAACCCCATCTTTACAAAAATACAAAAATTATCTGGGTGTCATGGAGCACACCTGTAATCTCGGCTACTCAGAAGGCTCAGGCACAAGAATCGCTTGAACCCAGGAGGCAGAAGTTGCAGTGAGCCAAGATTGTGCCGCTGCACTCCAGCCTGGGCAACAGAAAACAGAAAGAGACTCTGTCTCAAAAAAAAAAAAAAAAGAAAAGAAAAGAAAAGAAAGAAAGAAAATAGAAGGAAAAAAAGACTTTTGTTGGTCACTTCAGATATATGATTGAGCTCTCGAACAGCTCATAAATTTTTTAAACTGGTCAGGAAAACAAACTCTAAGCACCCAAAAGATATTTTCTGTGGCTGTTTTTGTTGTTTTGTTTGTTTGTTTATTTTTTCCCTTTTTTGTTAGACACAAAACTTAAAATTGATTTTCCCATTTTGCTTTCATCCATTAATTGAACAAACATTTGTTAAGTGCCTACTATATGTCAGACCTGTATCAGGCACTGTGAATACAGCAATGAACAATCATTTACTCTATTCATGGTAGGTTAGCTTTACCTAAAATCTCACACATCATACTGGTGCAGAAGATTTGAGGTATAGATGCCTGAATAAAGGAGTCCTGAGAGGAGTAGAAGACAGAGAATTCTAGATGCAACCCATGTATGTTCTTGTCTAAGTCATTTAAGTACAAGAAGGTAGAAAACAGGGTGAGTTGTATCTCTTGTTCTAATCATGTCTGTTCCTAAAATATACAAGCACCATATTTCCTTGAACAAAAACATCTGATGACTAGTTCTGACAGATACAAACAAACATAACAAGAGAGGATTTTATAAAATTGAAACTGTCAGATAAAACACAGGCTATTTAATTAAAGTACTTGGCAATCCGTGATGAAAGCTCCTGGGTTCCTTTCAAAATCTTCCAAGTGCTTTTCGATGTAAATTTCATCAGCCACTGTCCCAGTATGGGCCCCTGGTAGTAAAGAATGTGTATGTTCATCTTTGCATTGATTCCATTTTAGTAGCCTGATTGCTTATCTTGTGTTCCCTGCTCTTCCAGGGATCAATGAGCTTTTCAGTTCTTATCCTACCTGATATCTAAGCAGCATTTGACACTGTTCTACTCCATCCTTGACTTCCATGACATGACACATTCCTGACAATCCTCCTACCTCTTTGGCCCACTTTTTCTCAGCCTCCTTTATTGTCTCCTTTATCTCTGCCCATTCTTTAAATGTCCATGTTCCTTAATACCCTCTTCTCATTTCACACAAACTCCTGATTCAATTTTATTTCAAATATATACCCAAATATTTACTGAAATATATATTCCAGAAAAAATATCTCCTGAGCACCATGCCCTAGACCCAATCTCCTGCTACTGAATTTCTAAAATTGGACATCCAATTTCACCTCAATTTTAGCTTTACAACACTGAATTTATTATCTTCTCCTGAACCCACTATCCCATCCTCCCAAACTTGCTTCTCTTCTGTGTTTCCTGTCTCTGAAAATAATACCATCATCATTCAGTTGCCCAAGCCACGTACTTGGTCTACATTCTTAACTCCTCTTTCTCTGCCGCAACTCACATCAAAGCAGTGACCAAATCCTACAACCTAAATATGTCTTGATATACCAATATCTCATTATAGCCACTATTTCTCATCTATCCTCATCACCATTCTCTCTCCATGACCTCCATACTGGTCCTCTGGCCTTTAGGTTTGAACCCCTTGCTCTGGTTTGAAAATAATGGTGTCCCCTTCAAAATTCATGTTGAAACTTAATCCCCAATACAACAATAGCAGTAACCTTTGGAAGGTGAGATATTGGTATATCTACTTTATGACCTTGCAGCGGCATGGCAAGGGAGACAGGATCTTACAGGATTTTACAAATTGTGTTTACAAGGAATTGGAATTGGGAGCATAGGTAAGGTCTGCTGATCACAGAAAAACTGGTTTTTAACATTCCTTTTAGTTTTGGAGGGCGGAAGGGAGAGAGGGAGCGAGGACACAGGGAAGTTTACAACAAAATTTTCACTGTTAATAGCTTTCTTGGGAAGAAAACACACACACAAATTCTGATGTTAGGAATATTTTAAGCATATATCTTCAATATTATTCATCCAGGACCAAAGTAAGTCCTGATGCAGGAAAGGAGTGAGTTTCACAGCTTTCTGAGCCCCTACTTGACCCAGGAAGCCCAGCTGGAACCTCCTCTCAGTCTCCCCTCTAGACAGGACACCCCAACTGCTGTTGGGAACTGGACGGCAGTCGTTCTGGCTACTTTCTGCTGATGAGGGGCGAAGAAGGGGCCCTGCAGTTGTGGTGTCTTCCAGAGGGGAACTTTTTAGGCTAGTCAGAGACCAGTATGTCGATCCAGGGGTCCTTGGTAGATGCCGTGAGTTGAGCTCATTTGAGGTTCCATTTGTAAGACCATTTGTACCTTGATGGCCTCGATCCTGAGGAAACAAATTTGACAAGGAGGTTAAAAATGCAAGGCCCAAAAACGAGTAGGATGGCTGTCGCAGGGCCTAGAAAGGGGAGGAGCCGAGGTATCCATTGGTTAAACATATTCAAGCGCCCTGAGTGTTCAAGCTCCTTTTTTCTACTTTCTATTTGTTCTCTTATTTCTTTGACCTTTTCAGTAATGATTCCTGACTGGTTAACAAAATAGCAACATTCTTTTCCTAAGAAGAGGCAAGTTCCTCCTTTTTTAGCTGTTAATAAGTCTAGGGCTCTCCGGTTTTGAAGGACTACTGCAGCTAGAGAATTAAGCTGGCTTTGTAGGGTCACTAGGGAGTTGGCAATTCATTCCATGTCATCATTTAATTTTAGTGATAATTTATAATAAATTGGTGGTGGAGGTTATGCCTCCAATTCCAGTCCCAAGCCTGCCCAGTATTCCGACTCCTACAATAAAAGGGACAATAAGGGCTCACGTGTGGCGAGATTGGGGTATAAGGAGACTTTGTAACTCCTGTTCAGTATATATGGACATGGGAGGTGCTAGAAAGGAGAGAAAGCATTGTTCTTTCAGAGTGCCATTTAGGCATCAATAGGCTGTGTTATTATAGATGAAAAAAATGCCTGAAGTTAGACAAGTGAAACCTGAGGTCTTGCACTAGTCTCTGCTGACCATTTGTTTTTTGTATTCCTAGCATTCGGTTATTGCAAGGACTGTTACATTTTCTTACTAAACCTTGAGCTTTTAAATGTCTAACAATATCCTGTAATCCTTTGAGAGCTTTAGGCCTTAAGGTATATTGCCTTTAATAAGGAAAAGTGGTGGGGTCTTTTAGCTTGATTTGGACTGGATGGGCATTCTTTGCCTTTCCAAATTGTCGTTTTAAGGCCCATACCTCAAAGTTGATTCCTTCTTTAATTAGGGACAACAAATAGGTAATTTGTTCCCCATATTCCTGTAGATAATGGCCCCAGCTTTGGCTAATATGTCCCTCCCTAATAAGGGTGTGGGACTTTTGGGCATAACAAGAAAGGCATGTGAAAAGAACAAAGTCTCCTAATGGCAGCTGAGGAGGCAAGAGAAATACCTGGTTACAGGCTGTCTTAAGATTCCTCGGATAGTAATGGACTTTGAGGACAGTCGTTCAGGGCAGGAGATTAAAACTGAGAAGACCACACCAGTGTCCAGGAGGAAGTCCACTTCCTGGACCTCAACAGTCAACCTTACCTGGGACTCTGTGTGGGTGATGGCATGAGCTGGCACTTGCCCCAGGCACATTCAGTCCTGTTGCTGAATCATCTGGTTGGGTGCCTCTGGTCCAGAGGGCCTTCATCCTCTGGAGCAGTGCACCTTCCAAACCTTCCTTTCAAACCTTCTTGGCATATTGGACATGGGCGAGGGGACAGTTTGTTTTTTGTTGGACAATTTTTCTTAAAGTGTCCTTGCAAACTGCACTGATAACAAGCCCTACTAAGCGATTGGCCTCCTCTTCTCTTGGTTCCCTCTGAGCCACCAAGGTCTGCCTGTCTGAGGGCCATGTCTAAGGCTGCAGCCTTTATCTTATCTTGCTTGTCCCTTTTGGCCTGTTCCTCTTGGTCCCTGTTATAGAATACCAAGGTTGCCAGGTTTAATAATGTCTCCAAATTTTGTTCTGGGCCTAAAGCAGACTATGCCAGACACTGATTGGGTGATAAATTTATCCTTTAAAATAAGTTGACCTTCTACAGAATATGGAGTTAGGGAGGTGTGCTTTCTTAGGGCCTCCCTTAGCCTTTCTAGAAAAGCGGAGGGGTTTTTCTCTTTTTCCTGTGTAATTGTGGATAGCATTGAATAGTTGATAGGCTTTTTCCTAGTCTTCCTCAACCCTTCTAAAATGCAAGTTAGCAAATGCCTGCGGCTCCAATCTCCATGATCTGAGTCAGTATCCCAATAAGGGTCTACAGTGGGGGCTGCCTGTTGCCCTGTGGGGAATTTTTCCCTCTCCTCCGGGGTCATTCGATCATTTACCTGGCTAAAGTACCACAGATCCCCAAATTGCCGGGCTACAGCTAAAGCTGCTTCTTTTTCAGTAGGACTTAAGGTCTGATCAAGAAGCAACATGATATCTCTCCATGTTAGATCAAAGGACTGCCCCAATCCTTGCAGGACATCTATATAGTTATAAGGATCATTTGAGAATTTCCCTAAATCTGCCTTTATTTGTTTTAAATCTGAGAGTGAGAAGGGGGCATGCACGTGAATGGGCCCAAATTCTCCTCCTTGTAAGGGACATAGTCCCTTGTAAGGGAGATAGTTTGGGTGCCTGGCTCACGGAGTTTACGTTCTCTTTCCGGTGTGCCTTTAACACTTCGGTGGGACCGGATGGAGGAGAGTCAGTTGGGGAGGAGAGTGGGGTTGAGGGAAGAGGCCCTGAGTGTGGAGGCAACTGTGGGCCTCTGTCATTTGGGCAAAGCTTGCAGGCTTGGCACAGGGCAGTATTGTCACGAAGGGCAAAGAAAACCTGTACATAAGGGACTTTACTAAATTTACCTTTCTGTTTACAGAAAAGATCTAGCTGTAGAAGGGTGTTATAATTAATACTTTCCTCAGAGGGTCAAGTTTCTCCATTTTGTAAGGAATACTGTGGCAAGGCAGTGGTACAGAAGAAAATCAGCCGCTTCTTTTTTAAGGTTTCAGGGTCGAATTTGTCCCATCTTAAGGGAGTGTCCAGTTTTGAAGGCATGGTGCCCATTTGGAATTTTAAACACAGGGATTCCCACACCCGTGGTTAGTCTTGGGACTCGTCTTCCCTATGGCATCCCCCGAGGGTCAGGTCCAGTTGTGCTCAAGGCTCATGGCTGCTTTTCCTGAGCCCTCCATGTACCGGATTTAACCATGCTTACCAGCGGGATGGAAACTTCCCTTGCCCCTGCTGTGCGCCCATTGACCACTAAATGGGGCACAAGGACTGTTGGATTTATTGTGATCCTTCTGCCAATGCATTCTACCTGTTCCAGGGTGGCAAGGCCCGGGTCTGGGGCACCACTGATGCTTGCATGCTAAGGCCCAATTTACGTGGGCCTGGCCATAAAACTGTCCTTCAAGGAGGAATCTCTGAATTAGCAACAGGAGGCTTAGTAAGCATAAAGGGGTGGTAGATGTCTTCTAGGCCAGGGCTGAGAGAACAGCTGCTGTACTCTAGCCTTCTGTCCCCACTTGCCATCAAAGGAGTAAGCCCCTCTCTTAAGGCAGTACCAGTATCCTGTGTCCCAACTGACTATATTTTCTTCCTTCCAATACCAACTATTGAATGGTTGAAATAGCAATTCAACGGCTCTAAGAGCTGTACCCATGCACCACAGATTGTACTTGAGAGGCCCTAAGGAAGGGGAAAACCTATGTGGGAAGCAATGGAGGAAATGCCTTAAGGTTTTTACTATTCACATGAAAATTACAGGCCTGTCTTTAAATTGTCCTGATGTAGGGGACCATACCCTATGGTGGGGAACTGGCCCTTTAAAATAGCCATCAAACGATGATACCTGCCTAAACCCTGGAAGGTACCATGAAGAGGGATCCTCTGGGCACTACCCCAAAAATTTAAGACTTCTAAATAGGGAATCTTGATCCTGCCTAGTGGGAATAACCTTGCTTGCAAGATGAGAAAAGAAGTCTAGCCAGTGGACATTGGGACCCAGGAGACAGGGGTCAGAAGATGTGGTGGTCTCACGCTCAGTAACCCTTGCAGGGGGAGCCTCTGGCGGGGCCATGGTCTCAACCAGGAAATCTGGAAGACTAGAATGTCTACTGATAACTCCCGGGTGTACTTCGGGACCACCACAGAAAGTGAAAGAGTAGGAACTGGGTCCAAACTAACCAACGTTCCCAGCCCTGGAGGGTCGGGGGTTGTTAGACAGCCCTTTTCCAGACAGCCTGACACCCGTGTCTTTAGTCCGGCGGCCGCGCTAATCGCCTTTAAGTGGCTGACAGGTGCCCAGTTTAGCCTCTGAATTCTAAGGAAAGACAGGACAGAATAGCAAGCGAAAGAGGTCTAATCGTACTCACCATGTGAGGATCGAGATGCCTTTCCTGGAGATCCTCCTGGCTGGCTCGCCAAAATGTAACTCCAAAGGTTCTTGCCTTAGCCATGCCAAAGATTTGGTGGGGCGGCCGCCCATGGTGAGAGAGAGACATGGATCAGACCAAGAGAAAAAAAGCTGTAAGTTTTATTGAGCAGAGTGACAGTACAAAGCTTCCACAGCATGGAAGGTGTCCCAAGTGGGTAGCCAGTGTTAGATTTTTCAATTACATTTTAAACTCTTTAAGGAGGGAAATACGTGCAGTGGGAAGATGTTACCAGAGCAAGAAACAAAGACAATTAACATGTCTCAGATCTTGAGGAGAACCGGAATTGTAACTTAAGTTTATCTACTTTATGACCTTGCAGTGGCATGGCAAAGGAGACAGGATCTCACAGGACTTAACAAACTGTGTTTACAAGGAATTGGAATTGGAAGCATAGATAAGGTCTGCTGATCACAGAAAAACTGGCTTTTAACATTCCTTTTAGTTTCGGGGGGGGGAAGGGAGAGAGGGAGAGAGGACACAGGGAAGCTTACAACAAAATTTTCACTGTTTATAGCTTTCTTGGGGAAGAAAACAGAGGCACAAATTCTGATGTTAGGAATATTTTCAGCATATATCTTCAATATTATTCATCCAAGACCAAAATAAGTCCTGATGCAGGAAAGGAGTGAGTTTCACAGCTTTCTGAGCCCCTACTTGACCCAGGAAGCTCAGCTGGAACCTCCTCTCAGAAGCAGCGTGTAGTCTCCACCAGACACCAATCCTGCCAGAGCCTTGATCTTGAACTTTCCAGCCTCCAGAACAGTGAGCAATACATTTCTGTTCTTTATCCAGTCTCAGGTATTTTATTAAAGCAGCACAAATGAACTAAGATGGAAATTTGTTGACAATAAAACCAAACTCTGCAAAATATTTAAAGAGGTTTATTCTGAGCCAATATGAGTGACCATGTCCTGGGGAACAGTTTCAAGAAATCCTGAGAAAGTGTGCCCAAGGTGGTGAAGTTACTGTTTGGTTTTACAGATTTTAGAGAGACAGAAGCCACAGACAAAGATATAAATCAATACATGTAAGGTATACCTTGATTTGGCCCAGAAAGACAGGACATCTCAATGCCAGGGCTTATAGGTCATAGGTAGATTCAAAGATGTTCTGACTGGCAATTGGTTGAAAGGAGTTAAGCTTTACCTAAAGACTTAAAGTCTGTAGAAAGACATTCTTGAGTTAACATAAGGGGAGTTGTGGAGACCAAAGACAGATGAAGCTTTATAGGTAACAGCCATCACAGAGAATAGATGTAAATGTCTCTTTTTGGACCTTAAAAGGTGTTAGACTCTTAGTTAATCTTTCCTAAATCAGGGAAAGTCCTGGCTGCATTAATGGAGATTGTCTACAGATGCAAATTTCCCCCACCAAAGGCAGCTTTGCAGGGCCATTTTAAATTATGTCACAGAAATGTATTTTGGAGTAAAGTATTTTGATTTCCTTCAGGGTCTGCTATCTGTCATGTAATGCTGTACCAGAGTAGGTTCTAATATGATATCTTATTGCCTCAAGGAGATCAGTCTTATGATCTCTATTTTAATGTCAGTGCTGGTCAGTTGTGCCTAAACTCCAACAGGAAGAGAGTATAACAAGGAGTGTCTGACCTCCCTTTTTGTCATGGCTGAGAATTCAGTTTTTCAGGTTTCTCTAGGGGTCTGTTTGGCCCAAAGAGGGTCCAGTCATTTGGTTGAGGGCCTAGGATTTTATTTTTGGCTTACAGATTGGTACCATAAGTAAGGTATTGTTATAACAAATACCTGAAAATATGGAAACAGCTTTGGAAATAGATAATGGGTAGAGGCTTGACCAGTTTTAAAGTGCGTGCTAGAAAAAGCCTAGATTGCTGTGAATGGAGCATTAAGGGCAATTCTGGTGAGGTCTCAGAAGAGAAAAGCAGTATAAAAGCTTCAGTGTTAGATATTATCTAAGTGGTCATGAACAGACTGTGGGTAGAAATATGGATAGAAAAGAGCATTTTGAAGACATCTTAGATGGAAATAAGGCATATCTTATTGGAAACTGGAGGAAAGGTCATCTTTGTTACAAAGTGGCAAAGAACTGCCTGAATTATGTTCATGTCCTAATCCTTTGTGGAAGGCAAAATTTAAGGGCCATGAACTAAGACATTTGGTGGAAGAAATCTCTAGGCAAAGTGTTCAGGGTGGTGCATGGCTTTTCTTAACCGCTTATAGTAAAGTGTGAGAAGAGAAAAAATGCTCGAGATTGAATTTACGGTCAAAAGTAGAGCAGAAGGTAAAGATTTGAAAAAATTTCAGCTTGGTTATATAAAGAACAAAAGTATGGTTAAGGAGGGAAAACTGAGGATGTGGCCAAGCTACTCATTGATAAGGAAATTAGTATGAATAGAGGGAAGCCAGATGCTATTGATCAAAACAATGGAAGAATAACTCTGAAGGCATTTTGGAGATCTTTGAGACTGCCACTCCCATCACAGGCCAAGAATACCAGAGACTTGAAGGCAGAAGTTTCAAAGGAGGGGCCCAGGGCACCTGTGGAACCTTGGGGTTTGCTGCCCAGGGTCACCTCAAGTCTCTCCTCCCCCATACTCTGGTGAACTGCTCCCAGCTGTGGGGTTAAAAGGTATCAACATTCATCATTGAAGTGGTGCTAAGATTGCAAGCATGCAAAGTACACAAGCTGTGGAGGTATTGCTACCTCCACCTAGATTTCAAAGGATGACTCAGAGAGTCTCAGGTGGCCAGGCAAAGAAATGCCACAGGAGCAGGGTGGCTGCAGAGAGTCTCCAGTAGAGCAATGCCTAGCAGAGTCATGGGGTGGGGCCACTGCAAAAAGTCCCCACCAGGGCAATGCCTAGCAGGTCTGTGAAGGTGGGGCCACCACAGAGTCTCTACTTAGTCAATGTCTCATGAAGCTGTGGGAGTAAGGCTGCCCTGAAACTCCAGAACTCTAGAACTGCCAGAGTGCAATCCCAGCTTGCAGGCACATGACTCCAACTCATGAGAACTGCTGCATGAGCAGCATCCAGCAAAGCCATGGGGGTGGGATCCCCCAGGGCCTTTGGAGCCCAACTTCAGTCTCAGTAAGTCCGTAAGACAGGAGATAGAGCTGAAGAAGATTATTCTCAAGACTTGATATTCAACGTTGTTTTCCCTTTTAGGTTTTGGACTTACTTGAAACGTATTACTTCTTTCTTCTTGCCTATTTCTCCCTTTTGAGATGAAAATGTCTGTGTCATGCCTATCTCACCATTGTATTTTGAAAGTAGATAATTTGTTTGATTTCACAGGCTCATAGCTAGAGAGTAATTTGCCTGAGATGATTTATACCTTGAGTCTCACTCACATCTGATTTAGATGATATTTAGATAAGACTTTGGACTTAGACTTTAAAGTTGATTCTGAAACAAGTTAAGACTTTTGGGGTCTACTGGAATGGAATGATGTATTTCGTATGTGAGAAAAACATGAATTTTGAGGATCCAAGAGTGGAATGCTATGGTTTAAATCATGATGTCTTCTCCAAAACTCATGTTGTAACTTAATGCCCAATGCAGTAGTATTAAGAAGTATGACTTTTGAAAGGTGATTAGACCTGTGGGTTCTGCCCTCATGAATGGGATTGTTGCAGCTTTTTTACTCCCATAGTTCAGCAAGCAGGAGGGAGTGGCACCCAGTGGCTTCACTTCTTCACTCCCATACCTTGGTTAGTAGGAGGGAGTGGTGCCCAGCAGCTTCGCTTCTTCTCTCCCATTGTTCCATGAGAGGGAGAGAGAGTTACAGCTCTTTTATTCCTGCTGCCCACAGCTCAGCACAGCTTCCACTCCTGCATTTCAGTGAGTTCCAGGTTCTTGTCCCACAACCAAGAGGAATAAGGTACATGAACACTGGAGAGTGAGTAAGGCAGAGTAGAATTTTATTGAGCCACAGAAAGAAAGCTGTCAGTGGGAGGGGGACCCAAAAGTGGGTTGTCATCTGGGGTTTTTATGGGCTTAAAATAGGGGAATGCACGCTGATTTGTCCATGGCTGGTCTTGGAAAAAGCACCTTTGGATTGAAAAGGCATCATTCAGAAGGAACCAACCAAGAGAGACTGGGCAAGACAGGGATGGAAGTTCTCACTCCTGTCATGGACTCTATCCAGAAGTGGCAGCTTGGTTTTCAGGTTTTAGACTGCCCTTGGCTTGAAGGTTGGATTTCACTGGGGACTTGTCCCTGTCTGCCTAAGGAATTTGTCTGTTTCCTGTCACTATCAGGATTAACATCCTTATAAATGGGCTCAAGGTTGAAGAGAGCACCCTCTTCCCTGTCATTTTTGCTATGAGAGGACACAGTGTTTGTCCCTCTGGAGGCTGCAGCAATGGGACAGCATCTTAGAAGCAGAGAGCACCCCTCACCAAACACTAATGCTGGAACCTTGATCTTGAACTTCCTAGCCTCCAGAACCAGGAGGCCAATTATTCAAGACTGAATAATTTGTAAATTATTCAGTTTGTAGTATTTTGTTATAGCAGCAAAAGTGTACTGAGACAACCCTCTGATCTACACATCACAGCCCGGAATAAATTTGCAAAAATATAATTTTTCTCCTGTCAATTTTATGCTTAGAACACTTTGGTAGTTCCTTTCGCCTTAAGGACAAGGTTAAAACTCCTTAATGTGGCTTCAGTGATTGGTTCCTGTGGTTTCATCTCCCCTCAACCTCCCCTTGAACTATTTGCTTCAGTTTCTAACCTATTAATTTTATTTCCTTGAATATGCCATGCTCTTTCTTTCTACAAGACCTTTGCACCCTCTACCCAGATTCTTCTTAGAGGAGTCTTCAAAGATTATCTGCTAATGTGCATTTTCAAGTGATCTCATGTGTAATCATTTTCCAATGGAATACCTCTAAATAGCCCTGATATTTCTGCACTGAATCCTTAATATTGATCATTGACACATGGATGGATCCAGGTTATATAGGACTTGAATAGTGTTTGTTTGGGAAAAACAACTGTAAGAAAAAGTATGCAAATCATGAATACAAAATTAGATACAAAAATGAATATTTATTTATAATAAAAAAATATAATAATAAGTGTATTGGTGCCTTGGAGATTCAGACACACATTGTCTGAGATCTCTTTAGGCCATTTCCCAGATACACTTACAAAGAATGCATTCTGATTGCAACCTGGCTTCCACTCTTCACTCAGGGCACTGCCACTTTCAACAATAATCAGCACTCAGAGTGGCCCATGCATGTGATTAGCTGTGGAACTTAAGCTTCATTAGCTTCATGATAAATGTTTCTTCCCCCTGAAGTTTTGATATTTTTAATAGTTTTTAAGTGTTTCAGCTAACAAAAATGCTTATTGGCTTCTTTAGTTGTAATTCTGACTAAAACTTGGGAAACAGGAGAATATGGAAATCTAGCAAGATATTTCTCCATGTCTTTTTTGGGGTGACAGTAAATTAACCAAGAAAGTGTTTGCTCCATGTGACATCACAGCTCTGTCATTTTTTTTTTTTTTTTTTTTTGAGACGGAGTCTTGCTCTGTCGCCCAGGCTGGAGTGCAGTGGCATGATCTCGGCTCACTGCAGGCTCCGCCTCCCGGGTTCACACCATTCTCCTGCCTCAGCCTCTGGAGTAGCTGGGACTACAGATGCCCGCCACCACGCCCGGCTAATTTTTTGTATTTTTAGTAGAGACGGGGTTTCACCATGTTAGCCAGGATGGTCTCGATCTCCTGACCTCATGATCCACCTGTCTTTTTTAGGATATTCTAAGTCAGTAGTTCTCAGATCTGGCTATATATGAAAATAATCTGGAGAACTCTTCACAAATATAAATTTTGGCTTCCAATTCTAAACTACTAAATTAAAATTTCTCAAAGTAGAGACTATAAATGTATCTTTTTAATAAGCTCTGCTTGTATTTGTATGTGGTCAGTTCAGCACCAATCTAAGACTGGCATTTGTAAACAACATGTCTAAAGAATAAAGATTAGAGGTCTGGACCCTGGAAGAACAAATAGGTTCAATCAGTGCATTTAATGTTCCTCGAATACTTTTATAATAAAGGGAATTATTGGTTCTAAGAAGGTGGATACCCAGATTCCTAGACTTCCACATTAGGATGGCCAATTTATTCTGAAACCCTAACAAGTTTTGATAGAGAAAAGAAAAAAAGCACCCCGTACTGGTCCAAAATTTTTGAAAACAAAAGCTTTGGAGCATCACAAATTTTCACCCTGTAAAATTAAAATATACATTAGTGCATATGATTGTCCTATCCACTATATAAATAATGAATGTGAATTAAAACCAAAACTGAGAAAAAATTTAAATGCAAATATCTTAGTAATTCCATCAATTGAAAAAGCACTATCAATCAGGTTACAAAGAAACATCTAGATTTTATTAGGACACGTACTTTTATGTATTCCTGATGTTGTTGTTAAAATGTGTATGCTATTCTCTCCCCAGGAATAAGAAGACTAGTTGAATATGCCATTTTCACTTTCACAGAACTCATTTCCCCTGAAGGCAAGTGTCTAATTTCTGAAAAGTGTGCATATGAGTGATGTTCTATGTATAACTTCATCATTAGCATTCTTTTTATTTGAGATTCAATAATACCACTAGAATTTTCAGTTAATTTTTTATAAAGAATCTTTGTAATAATGTATTTTAAAAAGAATTGCTTTAGTATCTGCTGTGTGGGATGGGAAGATTTTGGAGACTTTGTCTTCTAAATCAATTTTAGAAAAGAATTTTCCGTATACTATATTCTGTTGCTATGTAGGTAGTGGGAAGAAAGAATACTTAAAAGTGGAAGAAAGAACAGAGCAGTCTTTTCATACTCCTTTAAGACTTGAAATTTTACTTTGTATTTTCTTCAAAAGAGAAATTAGTTGTGTTCAGTTTTGTCTTAAGAATAATTACTTTATTGTTTTTAATAAAAATAGCTTATGCTCATTATTTGTAAAATTCAAGCAGTACAGAAAACTACCAAGAAGAGAGAGGCATCTAACCTAAAATTATACTACCTAGAAATTACTATAGGTCTCTATGCACATATGCAGAGAGAATAATGAATGGATGTTTGGATGGACAGATGGATAATCATTTTGTATCTCCGATCCCTGGAGTAGTATCTGCCTCATATTAAGTACTCAATAAAAATATAGTGAATGAATAAATTGAATTGTACTATCTATTTTTTTCTAGTGCCATACTGCCCAGATTGGAATTCCAGTTCTACCACTTATTGGCTGTTTGACCTTGAAAAACATACTTAACATCTGTGCATCTCAATGTTCTCATCTGTAAAATGGGGATAATCGTAATACACACCTTCATCAAGGACATTCTTAAGTGAAATTGTTGGTTTATTTTTTACTCTATATGTGCAGTGATTAGATATACAGTGGCTACCAAGAAAATGTGTTGCCACAGCCTTGATTCTTGTTAAACTGCCAGCAGTTTTACCCACCATTGCTTTAGTACCTTCAGTAAAAATGTTACCATGGTGAAAATGATAAATAAAACCTTAGTATAGTCATTAAAATAGCTTGGGCCATACAGACCCCCTGAAACTGTTTGTAAGATGGGTTTTGACCACAGATCCCCTGAAACTGCTTGCAGCCCTCATTTTGAGAATCATTACTTTAAACCATCTCTTACCAAAATGGAATTCATTCATAGCCAGAATTCTCAGATTTTTTCAAATCGTCTTCTTTCTGGGCAACTGCTTACAGAAGTGGATGAATCTTTTGTTTCTGTTTGGTGGCCAGCACTCTTAG
This sequence comes from Homo sapiens, assembly GCF_000001405.40. Lineage (NCBI taxonomy): Eukaryota > Metazoa > Chordata > Mammalia > Primates > Hominidae > Homo > Homo sapiens. The sequence goes on along the minus strand of NC_000003.12, from coordinate 154,360,021 downwards.
AAGTTTTGCATGAGACTGGACACTTTCCTTGTTTGGTTGCTCCTGGTGAATCTGTGACTGTTGTCTTTCTTCATCTTACTGGATGAGAGAGATTCTGTGATTGGACTACCTTCCACCACCTTCATCCATAAATGTTTTTGGGTTTTTTAATTAATTAAAATCATCATATTTTTCTTCATTATTTTAGTTAGGTTTTCTCTTCCATTGATTAGGAATTTGTATCTATTAAGGTTTAGTCCAAGGAGCAAAAACACTATGGGTGTTATGGGATAAGATACTTCGTTTAGAATTGTGGAGAAAGCTGGAGAAGAAGAGGACTTGAAGAGAAGTTTGAGGATCAGAGACAGAGTTACCACTCAGTCAGCTTGAGAAACCAAGTATGTCTAGCCAGCAAAGTAGGACCACAAAGGGGAAATTTGTGGAGAGGTCTATGAAAAGCTGTTGCCTCTGAATAACCACGACCTCTGTGGGCCCATAGCCAAGCATCTGGGGTGGATTGGAGGCTCTGTTGGTCAACAATACCAGTAGTCAAGAAAAGCTAGATGTGGAGCAGAAGTGAGTGATGACAAGCTGGCCCCTCTCTGGTACCCTTTCTTCTGTCTGTCTCTGATTCTGCCTATGAGAAGATTTTTCAAATGGTTATGGCCATTGCTTTTTCCACCTTCCAAATAGCATGTAACTTCCTTTCTTGGCCAACTTCAATCTGCAGGGATACAAGTAAGAGACATATGGAAAATGTAATTAATTCCCAGCTTAGCTTCACTGACAAGAATACAAACTACCAGAGTATAATGCCATATGTTATGTTTTTAAGGCATAAATATTAAACTTATCAAATTATTTTCTAGATAAGAAGTATCACAGAATTTTCTAAAGAATGTCCCTTATTTTGCACAAAAAAAAACTGAGAAGAAAATTCCATTGATTTAAATAATGCATACTACCCGTATAGGCTCTATGGAGTTAAACGATTTTTTTCACAAGGGTTAAAATTATTAAAGTTATAGTGATATAGAAGTCATCCTTAATTTTCTATGACCTAAGGCACTTCTTGGTGCATGTTCTTTAGATATATTTCAATAGCAAAATGAAGCAGTAATGTATTATTTCTATCACCAGAAAAGAGTTAACTATACATTATATATACAAACACCCATGCACAAATACATAAGACATGCACATCCCTGTATATGACCATATCTACAGGATCTTACATGGTCTCTTACCTGTATTCGAGCTTAATAAGTGTTTCCTATTGAAAGAGGGTATAAATTAGAAGTGTATAAGCATCATTAAATCATCCTTACAGGTTTCTTTCTAGTTCATAAAGGTCTATGAAACTCATAAACATGGGTTTATAATCTGCTTTCTTTTCATTCTTGTTGTATCTTCCCACCTCAGACATTTTCATTGTAGGCTGCGTAGTGGCTTTGATTTCATATATTTTGGAAGGATAAAAATATTCCTTCAACAACAATGCTTTATTGATAAATAAAGTTTCTTTTCAAGTATCTTGGATCTGTAATTTCTTTGGGGAAGTTTTTAAAGGTTTGGTGATTTTAATTTTTTTTAGAAGAGCTTTTATACTTAGATATTTTTCAAGGAAAAAAAGTGATTTCATTGAGGCTACTTTGCCAAAATAGCCATAGAATGTTGGAATAGGAAGACATAAGAGATACTTTGGGGTTTATTTAGCCCAACTTCTTTCTTTTATTTTTATTTTTATTTCTTCTTATACTTTAAGTTTTAGGGTACATGTGCACAATGCGCAGGTTAGTTACATATGTATACATGTGACATGTTGGTGTGCTGCACCCATTAACTCGTCATTTAACATTAGGTATATATCCTAATGCTATCCCTCCCCACACCCCCCACCCCACAACAGGCCCCAGTGTGTGATGTTCCCCTTCCTGTGTCCATGTGTTCTCATTGTTCCATTCCCACCTATGAGTGAGAACATGCAGTGTTTGGTTTTTTGTCCTTGCGATAGTTTGCTGAGAATGATGGTTTCCAGCTTCATACATGTCCCTACAAAGGACATGAACTCATCATTTTTTATGGCTGCATAGTATTCCATGGTGTATATGTGCCACATTTTCTTAATCCAGTCTATCACTGTTGAACATTTGGGTTGGATCCAAGTCTTTGCTATTGTGAAAAGTGCCGCAATAAACATACGTGTGCATGTGTCTTTATAGCAGCATGATTTATAATCCTTTGGGTGTATACCCAGTAATGGGATGGCTGGGTCAAATGGTATTTCTAGTTCTAGATGCCTGAGCCATTGCCACACTGACTTCCACAATGGTCGAACTAGTTTACAGTCCCACCAACAGTGTAAAAGTGTTCCTATTTCTCCACATCCTCTCTAGCACCTGTTGTTTCCTGACTTTTTAATGATCGCCATTCTAACTGGTGTGAGATGGTATCTCATTGTGGTTTTGATTTTCATTTCTCTGATGGCCAGTGATGGTGAGCATTTTTTCATGTGTCCTTTGGCTGTGTCTTTTTGATGGGGTTGGTTGTTTTTTTCTTGTAAATTTGTTTGAGTTCATTGTAGATTCTGGATATTAGCCCTTTGTCAGATGAGTAGGTTGCGAAAATTTTCTCCCATTTTGTAGGTTGCCTGTTCACTCTGATGGTAGTTTCTTTTGCTGTGCAGAAGCTCTTTAGTTTAATTAGATCCCATTTGTCAATTTTGGCTTTTGTTGCCATTGGTTTTGGTGTTTTAGACATGAAGTCCTTGCCCATGCCTATGTCCTGAATGGTATTGCCTAGGTTTTCTTCTAGGGTTTTTATGGTTTCAGGTCTAACATTTAAGTCTTTAATCCATCTTGAATTAATTTTTGTATAAGGTGTAAGGAAGGGATCCAGTTTCAGCTTTCTACATAGGGCTAGCCAGTTTTCCCAGCACTATTTATTAAATAGGGAATCCTTTCCCCATTTCTTGTTTTTGTCAGATTTGTCAAAGATCAGATGGCTGTAAATATGTGGCATTATTTCTGAGGGCTCTGTTCTGTTCCATTGGTCTATATCTCTGTTTTGATACCAGTACCATGCTGTTTTGGTTACTGTAGGCTTGTAGTATAGTTTGAAGTCAGGTAGTGTGATGCCTCCAGCTTTGTTCTTTTGTCTTAGGATTGACTTGGCGATGCGGGCCCTTTTTTGGTTCCATATGAACTTTAAAGTAGTTTTTTCCAATTCTGTGAAGAAAGTCATTGGTAGCTTGATGGGGATGGCATTGAATCTATAAATTACCTTGGGCAGTATGGCCATTTTCACAATATTGATTCTTCCTACCCATGAGCATGGAATGTTCTTCCATTTGTTTGTATCCTCTTTTATTTCATTGAGCAGTGGTTTGTAGTTCTCCTTGAAAAGGTCCTTCACATCCCTTGTAAGTTGGATTCCTAGGTATCTTATTCTCTTTGAAGCAATTGTGAATGGGAGTTCACTCATGATTTGGCTCTCTGTTTGTCTGTTATTGGTGTACAAGAATGCTTGTGATTTTTGCACATTGATTTTGTATCCTGAGACTTTGCTGAAGTTGCTTATCAGCTTAAGAAGATTTTGGGCTGAGACGATGGGGATTTCTAGATATACAATCATGTCATCTGCAAACAGGGACAATTTGACTTCCTCTTTTCCTGATTGAATACCCTTTATTTCCTTCTCCTGCCTGATTGCCCTGGCCAGAACTTCCACATTCAAATTCAGTGACTCACAGTTGAACTGTGAGTCAATTAAACCTCTTATCTTCATAAATTATCCAGTCTCAGGTATGTCTTCATAGCAGCGTGAAAATGGACTAACATAGCCCATAAGTCATCCACTTCAAGTGAGCAAGTGAATGATTTCTAGTAAGTTTACCAAGTTGTACAAACATCACCATAAATCAGTTTTAGAACATTTCATCACACCAGGAAGGTCCCAAGTGCTCATTTACTCTTATTCCCTGTCACTAGCCTCCTCTACCCTAGGACACTGCCTACTCTATTTGCCTCTTTAAATTTGCTTTTTAGTTTGATGCTCTTTGTATCCCAATATGATGTTTGACGAAAGTATTCTTGTCTTCCATACTTACATGAATATCATCAATGTAAACTTTAACACCTTTTCTGGAGTATAGCAACCTTACAAAAACATTGTATTTATCCTTTGAAACTGTCTTACGAATGAAAATATATCATTTCTGACCTAATTCTGGTGAATTAGGTATGAGAAATTTTTTTCTTGCAAACATTTTTTGTAGGATATTCCTAACATCCAATTGAATGAGTGCTTATCATTAGGATATAAAAAATTATTTCATTTCTTAGGATTCATTTATTCCTGATGAAATTTTATTTTCTTGTTAAATTACAATCAGTGTATGCTTTCTTTCAAGCTAGTTTATCCTCTTTTATTTTGTTAGAAAAACAGAAATAAAGGATAAAATATGGAAATAAATTTGGATACATATCATATCTGATTTGAAATGCCATTCTAAGAGATAAAACTAGAGGTTTCGTTTCTATTAGAACAGAGAATGAAAAACCCTGTCTAATAATCCCAAGAGAAACAACACACTTAAATCCAAAATTCCCTAAGGATTTATTGCAGTCTGTGATGATTGTACACACGGATTCACACAGGGCTAAAAAGTATGAATTGAAAATATGAGAATACAAATTTCCATAATAAGAAATGAAGTGGCCGGGCGTGGTGGCTCACACCTATAATCCCAGCACTTTGGGAGGCCAAGGTGGGTGGATCACGAGGTCAGGAGTTTGAGAACAGCCTGATCAGCATGGTGAAACCCCATCTCTATTAAAAATACCAAAATTAGCTGGGCCTGGTGGCACGGACCTGTAATCCCAGCTACACAGGAGGCTGAGGCAGGACAACCGCTTGAACCCAGGAGGCAGAGGTTGCAGTGAGCCAACATCGCGCCACTGCACTCCAGCCTGGGTGACAGAGTAAGACTCCAACTCTAAATAAATAAATAAATATAGTAACTTAAGTATCAAGATATATTCATTTCAGAAGCTTACGTTTTGGCCATAAAATCAATGTAAAATGAGGTTTCATGCAGAAACTTGATCATTTTTCATCAGAATGATTCATCATTTTCAATATCAGTGTGATTTGAGTAAAGCATTAGGCCCAGCTTCCTTCCATGCTGTCACTGCCCACAGGTAGTTGTGGCCACTGTGCGTGGAGGGAGGTGGTGGCCAGTAATGCCTGGGAAACTCCTTGGGGCGACATTATGGAGCTGAAAACACCCTTGGAGGAGTCCGAGAGCCAGAAGAAGGACAGGCAAAAGGTATTTATTGAACCTAATTTGTACTATACTCTTTGCTGAGCACCGAGGGGCTTAAACTAAGAAATGGTCCCTGCCCTCAAGGAGCCTGTAGAGGAGTTGTAGAGTCTTTCCTCCTCCCACCCGCCTGCCCTCCAAAAAAAAAAGGAAAAGGAAAAAAAAATCCTGAAACACTCAGAGGATCACAGGGTGCTGGAAAATGCACAGGTAAAATTTTTACTGGAAACATTTGACCTGCAAAAAAGAAATCAGCTGAAGAGGCTAAGGTGGCAGTATTTGAAGGCTGACATTCAACAAAAGAATGAGACTTATTTTGTATAGCCTTAGAAAGCAGAATCTACCCCCTGACCTTATCACTAAGAGCTCTATCGATATTGCAATTTCAGATAAGGGATTATAGACCTGTACTTCCCTTATAGGGTTGTTATGAAGATTTAAACAAGATAAGCTGAAAACACATTACACAGTGCTGGAGTGACAGAAGGAAGTCAAGGCACCATTATGACCCAGATGAGAAATCAAAAACAAGAGAAAATGTTGTTATAGATGACCTGGATGCTTCCAAGGCCAAAAAAAACTAAAATGAAAGAGAAGCTAAATGGAGACACTGAAGAAGGATTTGTAGACTTTCAGATAAATTCTCTAAATCTCATAGGAAGAAAAGATCTACCAAATGGAAATATTGATGAATATGAAAAAAAAAATCAAAGCAAGTATCATCCTTAGATAGTTCTACTCATAAATCAAGTGATAATAAACTAGAGGAGACCTTAACATGTGAACAGAAAGAAAGAGCTTTCTCCTATTTCCGTATTTCTGAAGAGACTGTAAAGCTTCTGAAACATCAAAGGGTAACATATCTCTTTCCTATTCAAGTTAGGACCTTGTCCTGTATTTGAAAGAAAAGATTTAATAGCTCGAGCATGGACAGGAACAGGAAAGACATTCTTTTTTGCCATCCCCTTGATTGAAAGACTCCAAAGAAATCAAGAAACAATTTTTAAAAAGCTGCTCAACAAAGGTACTTGTTTTGGCTCCAGCAAGGGAACTGGCAAACCAAGTAGCCAAAGACTTCAAAGATAAAACTAGGAAACTCAGCATGGTGTGTTTTTATGGTGCAATACCATATCAAAGCCAAATTAATCATATGCAAAATGGTATTGACATCTTGGTTGGAACCCCTGGTCATATCAAAGATCATCTGCAGAGTGGCTGATTGGATCTTTCTAAACTGTGCCATGTTGTGCTTGATGAAGTGGATCAAACGTTAGATTTAGATTTTAATGAACAAGTTGAAGATGTGATTCACAAATCCTACAAAACTGAATCTGAAGACCATCCTCAGACTTTACTTTTTTCTGCAACTTGCCCACAGTGGGTATACAAAGTTGCAAATAAATACATGAAATCCAGATATGAACAGGTTGACCTTATTGGATAAATGACTCAAAAGGCTGCAACTACTGTGGAACACTTGGCCATTCAGTGTCATTGGTCTCAGAGGCCAGCAGTTATTGGAGATGTCCTTCAAGTCTACAGTGGGTCTGAAGGGAGGGCTATTATTTTCTGTGAGACCAGGAAGAATGTAACTGAAATGGCCATGAATCCACACATAAAACAGAATGCCCAGTGTTTACATGGGGATATTGCACAGTCACAAAGAGAAATTACACTAAAAGGCTTCAGAGAAGATAGTTTTAAAGTTTTGGTGGCAACCAATGTGGCTGCCCATAGTTTGCACATTCCTGAAGTAGACCTGGTGATTCAACATTCTCCTCCTCAGGATGTTGAGGCCCGTATCCATCGCTCTGGATGCACAGGTAGAGCTGGACAGGGATTTGTATATGTTTTTATCAACCAAGAGAAAGAGGTCAACTAAGATATGTGGAACAAAAAGCAAGAATTACTTTTAAATGTGTAGGTGTTCCTTCTACAATGGATTTAGTTAAATCTAAAAGCATGGATACCATCAGGTTTCTGACTTCCGTTTCTTATGCTGCTGTTGATTTTTTCTGACCATCAGCTCAGAGACTGATAGAAGAGAAAGGGGCAGTGGATGCATTGGCTGCAACTTTAGCCCACATTTCTGGTGCATCAAGTTTTGAACCACAGTCTTTGATCGCCTCTGATGACCATGACTCTGGAAAGCCTAGAGGAAATACAGGATGTCACCTGTGCCTGGAAAGAACTTAATAGAAAGCTAAGTAGTAATACAGCGTCTCAGATTACCAGTGTGTGCCTCCTGAAAGGAAATATGGGTGTTTGCTTTGATGTTCCTACAACTGAATCAGAAAGGTTACAGGCAGTGTGGCACGATTCCAACTGGATACTCTCAGTGCCAGCCAAATTACCTGAAATTGAAGAATATTATGATGGAAACAAGTCTTCTAATCCCCAACGGAGGAATGGCTGGTCAAGTGGCTGGTCAGGCGGGTCAGGCCAGTCAGGTGGTCCATCTGGTGGCCTATCAGGTAGACAGAGTCGACAAGGGAGTCACTCAGGAAGTCGACAAGATGGTAGAAGATGAAGTGGGAATAGAACTCGATCAAGAAGTGGGGGCCACAAATGGAGTTTTGACTGAATATTTGATACTTAATCTACCAGTGTGAACTTGCCTATTTGTGCCTAATTATGTATATTATCCACCAAAAATTAGCTCATGATAGTTGAGGTATGTGTCTGCTATTTGCACAGAAGTTGGTCGTATTTTTTTTAAAAAGTGTTTCACAAGAATAGCTATAAACAAATCTACCTATTCAGTTATACCTTTGAATTAAAAAACCTCCTTTTATTATCTTTTTAGAAAAAATGAGAATATTAGATAATTAAAGACATTTGAAAAGATAACATTTTGTTCTTCATTTTATACAGCTATAAAATTGGATTTTGAGGGGTTTCTATTATTCCTTCCACTGAAATTATCTCCTCTACTTCTCTTAATTGTGAACCCTATAAAATAACAAAATTTATTTGTCCATTAAATTATTTATCCCTGTAATTTTAGGACTGTAAGGAGCCAAACAGATTGTCTGTCTTTTGCTATTCAAAGTATGGTTCCTACACCAGCAGCTTCAGCATCATCTGAAAACTTTTAGTAAGTGCAGAATCTCAGGTTCAACAATAGACTCCCTGAATCAAAATTTGCATTTGCACAAAACAAGTTTTTAATTTAATGAAGTCCAGTTTATCAAATATCCTTTTATGGATCATGATTTTTGTGTCAAGTCTAATAACCCCTTCCTAGCCTTAGATCTCAAAGATTTTCTCCTATATCTTTCAAATAAAATTTTTAGTTTTACATTTTACATTTAAGTTTACAATTCATTTTGAGTTAATTTTTGAATAAACTATGAAACAGATGTAGCTGGTTATTTTTTTTTTTTTTTTTTTTTTTTTTTTTTTTGTATGTGGATGTCTAATTGCCCTAGCACTGTTAATTGAAAAGGCTAACTTTCCTCCATTGAATTGTTTTTGTACCTTTGTAAAAAGTCAGTTGGGTATATTTGAGTGAGTCTACATTTGGATTTTCTATTCTGTTCCATTTTTCTGTGTCTCTATCCCTCTAGCAACAACTCAATTTTGATTATTATAGCTATATTGAAATTAGATATCCTGATTCCTCCCATTATACAGTCAACTCTCTGTATCTGTGGGTTCCTATATGTGAATTCAGCCAACTTTGGATCAAAAATATTCAGATACAAAATTATGCCTGTACTAAACACATACAGACATTTTTCTTGTCAGTATTCCCTAAACAATATAGTAAACAGCTATTGACATAGCATTTACATGATATTAGGTATTATAAGTAATCTAGAGATGATTTTAAAGTATATGCGAGGAGGTGCACAGATTATATACACATACTATGCCATTTTATATAAGGGACTTAAGCATCTGAAGATTTTGCTATCCACAGGAGGTCCTGGAACCAATCCCCCACAGATACCAAAGATCAACTGTATTTATTTTTTCAAAATAATTTTAGCTATTCTGGTTCATGTACCTTTTCATTTTAATTTTAGAATGATCTTGTCTATAACTGTGAAAATATCTTGCTGGGATTTTTGTAGGAATTATATTAAATGTATAGATCAATTTCTACAGAATTGATATCTTTACTGTCAAGTCTTCCAGTCTATGAACACAATATGTCTCTTCATTTATTCAGATTGTCAACTTTTTAAAGTGTCATGTAGTTTCCAGTATATTAGTCCTATACATGTTTCATAAGATTTACATCTAAATCTTTAACCTTTTTAGCAATTGTAAATGGTACTGCATTTTTTATTTTGATGTCCAAGAGTTCATTGCTAGTCATAGAAGTACAAATGATTTTGTACATGTATCTTATATCCTGTGACCTTGCTTAGCTCAATCATTAGCTTGAGGATTTTTTGTCGATTCCTTGGGATTTTCTACATAAATCAATCATGTCATCTGCAAGTTGCAAAAGTTTCATTTCTTCCTTTCTGGTCTGTACAATTTTTGTTTCCTTTTCTTTTCTTTTTTATTTTTGAGACAGGGTTTCACTCTGTCACTGAGGCTGGGTGCAGTGGCATGATTATGGCTCACTGTAGCCTCAAATCCCCAGGCTCAAGTGATCCTCTCACCTCAGCCTCCTCAGTAGCTGGGATTACAGGCACACACCACCATGCCTAGCTAAATTTTTTTATTTTTTGTACAGATAGAGGTGGAGGCTACAGTGAGCTGTGAGCATAGCACTGCACTCAGCCTTGGTGACAGTGCAAAACCCTATCTCAAATAAGTAAAGAAATAAATATTGATGCAGCCTTGAATTTCTGAAAGAAACCCTGCTTGATCATTGTACATAATTCTTTTTATAGATTGCTGAATTCTATTTGCTAATATTTGTTAAGGATGCTTGCATCTATATTCATGAGTGATACTAATCTATAGTTTTATTTTTTTGTAGTGTCTGTAGAGTTTGATTATTAGGGTAAAACTAGGTTTATAAAATGAATCAAGAAGTATTCCTTTGTCTTGTATTTTCTGTAAGAGATTGTGCAGAATTTATATTAATCCTTACTTAACTATTTGCTAGAGTTCTCCAGAGAAAACATAAGGCTGAAGAGATTTCTTTTTGAAGGTTTTAAACTACAAGTTTAATTATCTTAATAGTTACAGGGCTATTCAAATTACCTATTTCGCATTTGGCACATTGTAGTAGTTTGTTTTACAAGGGATCAATCTATTTCATGTAAGTTGTCAAATTTGAATGTGTAAAGGTGTTTGTAGTACTCCCTTATGGTACTTTCGATGGCTGCAGACTCTGCAGTGATATCCTGTTTCATTCCTAATACTGGTAATCTGTGTCTTCTCTTTGTCACTGCTGCTAGAGGCTTTTCAATTTTATTGATCTGTTAAAAAAATAACTTTTTGTTTCATTAATTTCCTCTTTGTTTTTCTGTTTTCAATGTCATTGATATCAGCTTTTATCTATTTTCCTCCTTTATATTTGCTTTCAGTTTATTTTGCTCTTCTTTTTCCAGATTATCAAGGTGGGAGGCTAGACTATTGGTTTAAGACTATTACTCTTTTCTAATGTATGCATTTAGTGCTTTAAATTTCTCTCTCAGATCTTCCCTAGCACCAATTTCAATATGTTGTATTTTCATTTTCATTCACTTTTTTTTTTATTTCCCTCAAGACTACCTTTTTAACTCTTAGATGATTTAGAAGTGTTTAGTTTCCAAGGGCTTGGAGATTCTCTTGCTATCTTTCTGCTATTTATTTCTACCTTATTTCTGTTGTGGTCAGAGAACATACTGTTTAATTGTGTTTCCTTTAAATTCCCTAGGGTTTGTCTTATGGCTTAGATAGGGTCTATCTCAGTATATGGTTCATGGGCACTTGAAAATAATGTGTATTCTGTTGTTGTTGGATGGAGTGTCCTATAAATAAAAATTTTCTATCTATAACATTTTCTACAAATGTTGATTAGATCTTATTGATTAATGATGCTCTTCTACACTCTTGTTGATTTTCTTTCTAGTTATCCTATGGATTGTTGCGAGAGAGGGGTTGAAGTCTCCAACAGTATTTGTAAATTTGACTATTTCTCCTTTCAGTTCTATCAGTTTGGCTTTATATATTTAACAGTTCTGTTGCTTGCTCTATACATATTTAGGATTGCTATGTCTTCTAAGTGGATGGATCACTTTATTATTATATAGTAATTTTCCCTGTCTCTGATAACTTTCTTTTGTCTGAAATCTATTTTATGTGATATCACTATAGCCACTCTTGTTTTCCCTTTGATTGATGTTTGCATGATATATCTTCTTTTTTTACTTTCGACCTGCTTATATTATTATATTTGAAATGAGTTTCTTATAGACAATATATAACTGAGTTGTGTTTTTAATCCATTCTGCCAATGTCTGGCTTTTAATTGGTTTATTTAGACTACAAGAATAAACTACTGCAGAGGAATCTGCTGTCTAATTCAGAGATAAAGATTGTAGAAATCAAGTTTTATTATCTACCTCTTCCTAGTCTCAACTACTGGCACTAGACACTAGGATTAGAAAGCTTAAAAACATCTTGGATTCCTCTCTCTTACTCAGCTTCCAATAATAACTAACATTTATGGAGCACTTACTATGTATGAGGCACTCCCCTAATCATTTCACACGCATTAACTCATTTAATCTTTATATTTTGCAAGTGAGACAACTGAGGCTTACAGAAGTAAGGATTATAGAGATAGTGACTCAGGTGTATGCGACTCCACAGCAGTACTTCACCACTACCCTCCACAGCCTCAATAGTTTTGCCTTTGCAATACTTCAATAGTCCATCCCACGTTTGCCATTTTTGCTACCTACTGAAGTTCAGATCTTGTTTTTTCTTTCCACGTATGATTTTAAAAACCTTCTATTGGTGCTCCCTTCCACCACACTCTCCTTTCTCCAATTCATCTTAGATCCTCAGTGGCATCATGGAAAGGATTTGGAATGTGAGCTGAATTTAGATCACAGTTAAAACTTTACCTTCCTATATTACCTGGGCAAGTTAGTTAATGTCTTCACATATAAATTTGTTTGTCTGTAAAATGTAAATAATTTTACCACCCGTGTGATTATATTATATATTTCGCATGTAGTAGATTTCACATGTAATATGGTTTGGCGGTGTCCCCACCTAAATCTCATCTTGAATTGTAGTTCCCATAATCCCCACACATCATGGGAGGAACCCGGTGTGAGGTAATTGAATCATGGGGGCAGTTACCCCCATGCTGCTGTTCTCATCATAGTGAGTGGATTCTCATGAGATCTGATGATTTTATAAGGGGCTTTTCCCCCTTTTGCTCAGCACTTCTTGCTGCCACTATGTGACGAGGGATGTGCTTGTGTCCTCTTCCGTCATGATTCTAAGTTTCCTGAGGCCTCCCCAGCCATGCTGAACTGTGAGTCAATTAAATCTCTTTCTTTTATAAATTACCTAGCCTCGTGTGTGTCTTTATTAGCAGCATGGGAACCAGCTAATACAACATGTAAAATGCCAAGTGCAATGCCAGCATATAGTACACACTTCATATATATTCATTACCTTCCCTTATTACCTCCCTATGACTCAATTATATCATCTATGAGTTCAGGATAATTACTATCTCTATTTTATAAGGTTGTTGTGAATATTAAATAAGAAAGTGCATAGACAGTGCTTAGGAAGAAGGTTGATACAAGGCTCTTATTCAGCAGGATCAGTAAATATTTTGGGGGATGGATATCAATCCTAAAAATCTGTTACTCAGTTGTTAGAGTTTTCATCATTAAAAACAACAAGCTGGCCAGATGCTGTGGCTCATGCCTTTAATCCTAGCACTGTGGGAGGCCAAGGCGAGCAGATTACCTGAGGTCAGGAGCTCAAGACCAGCCTGGCCAACATGACAAAACCCTTTATCTACTAAAAATACAAAAATTTAGCCAGGCATGGTGGGGCACACCTGTAACACTAGCTACTCGGGAGGCTGAGGCATGAGAATCACTTGAAAGAGGCAGAGATTGCAGTGAGCCAAGATTGTGCCACTCACTCCAGCCTGGGTGACAGAGTGACATTCCATCTCAAAAAAAAAAAAGAAAAAGAAAAGAAAAGAAAAACCTTAATTTGTAGCTTGAAGGCCTTTGAGGATTAAATGTGAAATGTGTTAAAATTCTTAGCACTTTTCATGCCTCTTACAGACCCTTGATGAAGGCCCTCATTTTCTTGCCCTTGTTCTCTCTTTCCTTGAGGAATTCTTGTGTTTTCTCTAATTTGTGTTCATCAAACATTTAAATGAAAATGACAGAATGACACAAGGTATATTCTGCGAGTTGAATATGTGAAAACAGTAACGACATAGTTTTGCATATTGAATAAAAAATAAATTCCAAAAAGTAAATTATTAAAAATCTACTTTTGTTTTTCTCACAAAGTTCTTGTTCTTAGTGCTATTTTTTCCCTCTCAATGTCCTTATCTCTACTAACCATCTTAAATGGTCGTGTTCCACTTAAATTCCTCAATGTCTGTACTTTAAGAGGCCTAAAGTCACCTAAATTACCTAACGATCATCTATATGAGTTTAATTGGGATTAAAATTGTCAGTCATTTGGGTTACTCATGAGTTAGTGACAGAATTCTACCTTCTAGGGCAGAAAACCAACAACTGACTCTTAGCTAGAGCAGATTTCTTTTAAAATAACAACATGATACAAATAATAGAAAGAGCACTTAACTGAGAGTTAAGAAACCTGAGTCCTGATGCCAGTCCTGATACTACCTATGTGACCCTGGGCAAGTGTTTGACCTCTCTGGCTATGAGTTCTTTTTTCATAAAATAAGAAATTAAAATGCCATGGTTTCTGATAAGTGCCATGATCCTAGATGCTATATAATGTCTTTCTAAAATTGAATGATTCAGATTATCAACAGACTACTTCACCTTCTTAGGAGAAAATTTTGCTGCAACTCTTTTTATATTATAATTTCACCCTGGATTCACCTGGAGGCTCGTAGTGAAGAAATCAAAACATTCAATGTGCCGAAGGTCAGTAACTCTGAATCAATTATCACAGGAGATTATGTGTGCTAGTGTGTTTACATGGCATGCTGTCTTCTCCTGGAGCATTTGTGTGGCTTAAAGACTGCTCTTTATTACCAAATAAAAAGCTCCTTGCCACCTACACTCAAGAATATAGCAATAATGGATTATCATTATTCCTGACAGCATATGCTAATTCATAGACTTTTAAATGAAAAGAAAGCAGAGATTACAAAAGGAATCGTTTTATGCTCTCTGAATGTATCATTCTTTGTCATTCAATAACTTTCACATAAAATTCAGTGCCATAATATTTTATTTTCATAAAAACAATCTATTCTAATATGACCTTCTGATGTACTTGTAACTATCATCATTTATTATATAAGGCTGTTTAAGTATAAATTTTAAACAGCAATGTTTTAAAAGATGATCCTATTTTTTGTGCGAAAAGTTAAAATATGAAATCTGAAAAGGACATAAGGTCAGTGTTGCCAATTTATGCACACTTTTGTTTGTCCATTCAACAAATATTTTTGAGGGCCTGTCATATGCCAGACACTGTTATAGGTAGCAGAGAAGAAAAAGATCAACAAGAGAATGTTCACTTCTTTTGAAGAGATTACATCACATGTGGATTTGACAGAAAGGGCCACATAGCCCCAGTGTCCAGAAAAAGATGGTCTGTTGCAGGACTTTTAAAAATAAGTTTTTTTCGAAATGTATTTTTGTACTGTTTGCATACAAAATTGAATTAGTTTCCCAAGGCTGCTGTAACAAACTATCACAAATTAAGATGGTTGAAAACAACAAAAATTTGTTGTCTCGCATTTCTAGAAACCAGAAGTCTGAAATATGGTGTTGGGAAGACCATGCTCCCTCTATAAGCTCTTGGGGAGGATCCTTTCTTGCCTCTCCCTAGCTTCTGGTGGCTCCCAGCAATCCTTGGTGTTCCTTGACTGGTGACAGCATAACTCCAATTGTTATCTGCATCTTCACATGACTGTCTTACCCCAGGTACATCTGCGTCCAAATTTCCCTCTTCTTAGAAGGATAAGAGTCATTGGATAAGGCCCATCTTCATTCGGTATGACCTCATACAACTTGCTTACACCTGCAAAAACCCTATTTCCAAATAAGGTCATATTCACAGTTTACAGGGGGACACGAATTTGGAGGGGGATGCTATTCAACTCATTACAAACATGAACATAAATTAAACCAATATTAACAGTTTTTGTATCATATTCTACTTCTTTCAATTAATGTTCATTTTCTGTTAAGATACTATTGCCTTTTACTTTTGAAGTCTCTTTTTGAAGTTGTCCTTAAACTTTTTGAATGATTTTCAAATCTGTTGGCTACACTGTGGTTTGTGACTCAAGTTGTATAGTATTTTCTTGTTTGTTGTTATTGTTTCCTGAGATGAGACTCTTTATTTGAACTTCACATTGACAGCTTGTTGGACTCAAATGTTTATAACAGTTTTCTAGTAAAATTCGTGAGGATAATCTGACTTATTACAGACAGTGGACTCTTTGAGAGTGCTATAAATATTTGTCTTACTAGAACCATAGGATTATTTAATCACTTTTCCTTTCAGATAATTTTAAAATATTTCTTTCCAGTCATGAGTGCCATTCTCTACATTTTTTCTTTTTCTTTCTTTTTTTTTGGGGGGGCGGTGGGGACAAGGTCTCACTGTCACCCGGGTTGGAATGCAGTGGCGTGATCATGGCTCACTGCAGCCTCTATCTCCCGGGCTCAAGTGATGCTCCCACCTCAGCCTCCGCAGTAGCTGGCACTACAGAAACACACACTACCATGCCCACCTAATTTAAAGAATTTTTTTAGAGACAGGGTCCCTCTATGTTGCTCAGGCTTGTCTCAAATTTCTGGGCTCACGTGATTCTACTTCTTCAGTCTCCCAAAGTGCTGACTGACAAAGGGATTACAGGGATGAACAGTCGCACCCAGCCTCTCCACCCTTTTCAAATGTGAATGGGAAATTAGCTATACCCCAGTTGAGACTCTCATTCTAGTCAACCAAACCATTAGGGCAAATTTTTGAAATAGTGCCCTCTACCCAACTTGTCTCCTGTCTCTTAACCTAAAAATAGAACAAACCCCAACACATACTCCAGATGATGAACGCTGAGGCTAACTACCAGCATCCAGCATCAGCAACACACACTCAGTACCCTACCCCTACCTCCTGGATGCCTTTCTAGTAATATTTTGTAATCTCTGCCTCCCTCACTACCTAATAAACTTCCTTGATCAAAAGAGTAATCATGATAATAAGAAAATAATTTAGAAATATAGAAATACCGAAAGTGAAATGCCAAGCCACTATTCACTCCCAGAGGAAGAAATTCTTGGTGTGTAGCCTCTCAAACCTTTTTCTATGACTGTCATATACAGGTATGCTTGTATGTCTGTGAATCTATTTTCATTCCTATACATGCTTAATTTTCTGGGCTGATTTCTCATGACTATTTTTAACAAGAAAACTAGATCATACTGTACACATTGTTTTGCAATTTGCTTGCTTTTATATCTTACAATATATGGAAATTATTTTACCCAGGCAGAACTTACAGCCTTACCTCATCTATTCAAGATAGCTTTTCAGAACATAACTGTATCACAATTTATTAAACTATTTTCTAAATGTAGATCTTTAGATTGTTTCTAATTTGGGGCTTACAAAAGTGCTGAAATAAACAAACATTATGATGTTCTGGTATTTGGAGGAACCGACTCACAGACATAGGATCAATGGTAAGTATACGTAGTTTTTATTTTATAGTCAAATACACAATCAAAATATACTCTAAAGATGGCATCAATCTTTTTATTTCTGCTGGGGTTTTTTTCTGTTTATGTTTTATGGAGGGCATTCTGAAAAGCTAAAATGACCATTGTTTTTACTTACTTTTAAAATTATTTGTAAGGCCAGGCATGGTGGCCATGGCTGTAATCCTAGCACTTTGGGAGGCTGAGGAGGGTGAATCACCTGAGGTCAGGAGTTCAAGACCAGCCTGGCCAACATGGCAAAACCCTGTCTCTACTAAAAACACAAAAATGAGCCAGTCCTGGTGGGGTACGCCTTTAATCCCAGCTACTTGAGAGGCTGAGGCACAAGAATCACTTGAACTTGGGAGGTGGAGGTTTCAGTGATCTGAGATCGCATGTACCACTGCACTCCAGCCTGGGTAACAGAGCAAGACTCTCTCAATAAAAAATAAAATAAAATAATTGGTCAAATTGCACATATTTTTATGTGTTTACTCTCCATTTTTCTTTAATTGTTTTGCCCACTTCCCTTTTCCATTTTTCTGCTAGATTGTTTATCTTACTGGTTGAGAAGAATTCTCCATAGCATCACTATTAAACTTTGTTTTATATAGACTACAAATATATCCTTCTGAGCTGCCTTTAGTCTTTCACTTTTGTTTATAGTATATATTTCTATACAGACATTTCAAAGTTTTTTGCAATCAAATCTGTCCATCTTTTACTTTGTGGTTTCCAGTTTTCATTCCAGATTTGGAAAGGTCTTATTCACTCAGCACTTTAAAAGAATTATTAAGAATTTTTTAAAATTTTTGCATGTAACATGAGATAGGTATCTAACTTAATTTTGTAATGGATAACTAATAATATGTAAGAAGTTTATTTGATTAACTCATTCTGTTTTTTGTTTGTTTGTTTTTAAAGTATAATTACCCTGCTTATTTTGAAATGCCATCTTCAGGGTATACTATATCTACTTTCTTGGCTGGCTGTCTTCCTTCATGGATTTACCAAATCTTGCAATGAACACCCTGTATTAATTGCTGTAGCTACATATTATACTTGGGAATCCACCTTGTTGTTTGTTTCCAAGTTTTCTTGGTTATCTGCAAGCATTTACCCCTGCAACTATATCTTAAGAGAAACTTTCAAAATAAAATTTCAGTGGAACTTTTATTAATATTGTATTAAATCAATAAATTAAAAGAAAACTGCCATAGTTGCGAAATAGTTTTCTCATGCAGAAACATTATTCTTTCTCTCTTACTTTTTCAAGACTTCTTTTATTATTGCTGTTTTTTCTTCATAAGGTCTCACATACTTCTATAGTATTGTTGCTATTTTGGATGGTACCTTTTAAAAATTATTTTTGATTGGCAATAGCTATTGATTTCTTAACATTTTTACCTAAAATTCAGCCACCTTACTAAACTCTCTAATTTTTTTAGATTACTTCTTTAGAATTTTCTAGGAAGATAATATTTTCATCTGTAAATTACAATA
Organism: Homo sapiens; assembly: GCF_000001405.40. Taxonomy (NCBI): domain Eukaryota; kingdom Metazoa; phylum Chordata; class Mammalia; order Primates; family Hominidae; genus Homo; species Homo sapiens. Next base: position 154,341,361 of record NC_000003.12, on the reverse strand, counting down.
ATGTCTCTTCCTACTCATTTTATATATATATATATATATATATATATATATATATATATATATATATATGTCTTATTTTTTTCTTGATTTTTTGCACAGCTAGGACCTCCAGAACAATGTTAGACAATAATATGGATATTATCTATAAAAACTGAGCCCTGCTCTGGGAAGGATTCTCAAGTCTTCTTTTTTCTCACCCCATCTAAGTTAGGCACCCCAGCCTGGGTCTATTGTTTCAGTCTTTGATAACAAAAATGTTTTCTCAGGATGGAAAGTTTTCAATATAACCCTTTAACTTGTGGTTTATCACTCAGAAAGCAAGGTTTTAAAATTGTAAATCTTGGCCGGGCACGATGGCTCACGCCTGTAATCCCAGCCCTTTGGGAGGCCGAGGCAGGGAGTTCATGAGGTCAGGAGTTCGAGACCAGCCTGGCCAACATAGTGAAACCCTGTCTCTACTAAAAATACAGAAACTAGCCAGGTGTGGTGGCACGCACCTGTAGTCTCAGCTACTCAGGAGGCTGAGGCAGGAGAATCACTTGAACCCAGGAGGTGGAGGTTGCAGTGAGCCGAGACGGCGCCATTGCGCTCCAGCCTGGGTAACAGAGCAAGACTCTGTCTCAAAAACAAACAAACAAAACTAAATCTTTTCTTGATTTTTAAGATCAATTTCACATGTCCCCCCTCCACAATATGACATCTCCCTACCCGAGATAGTCATTCCTTGGACCTTATAGAACTTGGTAACTATCTCTCAATTACTACATTTAGAACTAAAATTTTTATTTTGTTTATTTACATCCAATCATCTGTGGGGTCTTAAGAGATAGCATCTCCATACATCCAATGCAAGCTCAGAATCATGTACATCCTTACTTAGCAAATGTTTAATAAGTGGATGTATAATAATAGGAATGAAACCTACTTCTCTTTTGCCAAAAGTTGCCACCACTCAAATATTAATAGTAGTCTGATGCTGTGATGAACCTGTGTGGTCCCTCTGTCTCACTTATTTCAGCCAGCATTACACATGTAGAGTCAATGAAGTTCTTTGCCTTGGCAGACGGCTGGACTGAACATTATAGTGTAAATTTTCAAAATTTCCAAAACTTTATCGTGCAAGGCTCTACAGTTAGGTTCCTAGGTCTCCTTATGAGTAAAGAGAATTCAAGACCACTCCACAGAGAATAACCAGGAAAGAATGATCATATGTCTCACACAGCCCAGACTGTATTTTTTTCTAGTCTCTCAATTCAAGAAGTAGAGCGTGGGCCGGGCACGGTGGCTCATGCCTGTAATCCCAGCACATTGGGAGGCCGAGGCGGGAGGATCACAAGGTCAGGAGATCGAGACCATCCTGGCTAACACAGTGAAACCCCGTCTCTAATAAAAAAATACAAAAAAATTAGGCGGGGGTGGTGGTGGGTGCCTGTAGTCCCAGCTACTCGGGAGGCTGAGGCAGGAGAATGGCACGAACTCAGGAGGCAGAGCTTGCAGTGAACCGAGATCGAGCCACTGCATTCCAGCCTGGGCGACAGAGGGAGACTTCGTCTCAAAAAAAAAAAAAAAAAAAAAAAAAAAAGAAGTAGAGCATGAAGGCACCCCCAATGAAACTCATTCTTTTTCAAACTTCTTTAAACAGAAAATAATCTAAACTGTTCTCCAATAGTGAGAACCTGTCTTCGTCTAGCCACTGTTGGGTCCAGATTGAAAATGCCCATAGCAAGTAGGGTGATCAATCTCCCACTGCCCCGACTCCTGCCCATTTGTCTAACTAAGACTGAGGGATTTCCTGGGATGCAGAAATTTCAGTGCTAAATATGGGACAGTCCCAGGAAAATTGAGAAAGCTGGTCATCCTAAATTGGAAAAATACCATTATCTCCCATGCCAATTCCCCAGGTGGACAGACACATTTAGGCCAGTCCAGTTAGTAACTGTAGGTTTTACAAGTGGTAAGCACTTATATAAAAAGTGTCTGTTTATCTCCACCATTACCCCTTTTTTTCTGGACTACAACATTTCTTTAGTTAGAGCAATGGATCCCAAACTTTACTATGCAACAGAATCACCGGAAAGGCTTGTTAAAATACAGATTGCTTGACCCTGTACCTGGGTTGAGACCTAATTGAGTAGGTCTGGGATAATGCTAAAAACCTGTATTTCTGACAAGTTACCAGAAGCTGCTGACGATGCTGGGTTGGAAACTCAGTTTTGAGAATTACTGCTCTAGAAGTTTGGTACATTATCATCTTCTGGGACTAACACATAATCAAAAATCAAAACATGTCAGTTGAAAGTATGAAGACATGAATCAGCAATAAAAAGTACAGACTATTTTAAGAATCAATCTTATTTTCTTCATTTCTGAAGCACCTCTCAGTGGTAAGTACAGTTTTAAAAAAATCTTAATACATAAAGCATAATAGAAAATGTTTACCCTTTTAGGCAAGTTTTTGAAAGAGGTGGAATAGTATTCTTTATTATTGGGTTTACTTTAATGACTGATTTCTCTGTGGAAAAGTACGCTCTTTGTAGCATAGTTCTGGTGACATTCGGTTCCTGTTATGTATGCTCAACTCTAACAGTTGAAGTATCTTTTGTCCTTAAGCCACCGTTTCACAATTATCATTTACTTTGGCATACTAAACAGAAAAAAAAAGTTCATGTTGATAACACAGTCTACATTTCTTCCAACTTTTGCAAACGTTTTAATGTAACTGAGTATGTAACAAAAATATAAAAGTAATTTCAGATTGTAAATATGCATTCAATTTTATGTTCAAATTCTGCCTTTGAAAACATCTATTGCTTCCCATCAGTACACACCTTTGCCTTTAACTGGGGAAATATGCCCCTCATCTTCAAATAAAGGTTCCTAACTACCCTCATTAAATGTCTGATTTGGCCTAGGAGAAACTGAGGTATGGTGCTTTGGTGGCAGTATTTAAATCCCGTATCTGTAAAATGTTTCTAGGGAAATGGATCTGAAATAGAAAACCTTTATCATTCTGATGAACAAAATGAATTTCTAAATGTCTCAACCTCAGAACCTAGCTTTCAACAATAACAATTTTGTTTTTGTCCCCAGCGTTCCGGTTATGCCCTTGCCATTCCCTTGTGTGCATTCCAGGGGACTGTGTCTCTCCATGCACCTACAGGGAAAACCCTATCTCTTTCTACCTATGAGGTAAGCGCAGAAGGGCAAAAAATAACTCCAGCCTCTAAGAAAATAGAAGTCTATCGATCCAAAAGTGTTGGCCATGAACCAAACTCAGAAGATTCTTCATCCACGTTTGTGGACACCAGTGTGAAAATACACTTGGAGGTTCTTGAAATTTGTGATAATGAAGAGGCCTTGGACACTGTGTCAATCATTAGTAACATCAGTCAGTCCTCCACACAAGTCAGATCTCCATCCCTACGTTACTCCAGGAAAGAAAACAGATTTGTTTCATGTGACCTAGGGGAAACAGCCTCATACTCCCTCTTTTTGCCCACCAGTAATCCTGATGGTGATATTAATATCTCCATTCCAGACACAGTAGAAGCACACAGGCAGAACAGTAAAAGGCAGCATCAAGAGAGGGATGGCTACCAGGAGGAAATCCAGTTGTTAAATAAAGCTTACAGAAAAAGAGAGGAAGAAAGCAAGGGTAGTTAGTGGGTATTTGGTCTAACAGGAGCAAGAATGGATCTGCAACGTCAACTGTGAAACTAACACCTTTGTTATGAGACTGATTTCCTTTTATTTGTTGGCTTACATTAGTTTTACTGATTTAATAGTTAATTTTTTTGTGGGAACAACTGGAACTAGTGTAAACACTTAAGTGCATTTGATGTGTTACCTAAAGATCACACACTGTGGTAATGAAAAGATTTTACTTCTTATCTGACTTCTAAAAAATATTTTCTAAATCAAATCTTGGCCTAGTTTACCAATGTTTTTGCTTGTCAACTTCCTAGTAAACAGAAAATTGTATAAACTCAGTGAATATACTGTTCCATGCATATGTTTCTATATACAATGTTGGCCTTTACTGCAAAGGGGAAAAAAGAGGAATTCTGGGAATGGAAGAAATGTAACAAAACCCCAAATTATATTTGAAGGAACTTGCCTAAATGTGGCTAGCAAAACAAGCTTATTACACTTACTGCTTTAGCTTTACATTCTTCTGTAAAATGAAAAATTAGCTTCCAACTGAGAAACACGCAGGTTCCTAGTCTATAAATAGTTGTTTCCTTCATTTCTACCAAATATAAATTGTTTACTGTTTTTTCTTTTTTTCTTACCTATAACAGTTTTCCTTTCATCTTTTCAGTATGTCAAGACTGTCCCATAAAACAAATATATTGTGTGTTAGAGGTGGAATTAGAAGTATCTTTAACTCAAACATTATTGGAAAAAAGTTGTAATTGTGTAATTGTATACTTTATCCTAAAATTGTTTTTTTTTTTAACTTGAGTGGAAATTGGGAGAAAATACTGGCAGATTCAGTTATGAGAGGTACATCCAAACATGGTAGGCTTCTGGATACAGCAGAGCAAAATCCTCTAAGTCTAAAACAAAAGTATCTGTTTTTAAAGCTGAGGATTGGGCAACCTTTCTTAGTCATTCTTGAAATAGAAAAGTTTACTTCAAATATTATATCAAGTTTAGCTGCTTTTTTGTTTCTTCTCTAAAGACGTGTTGTCTCAAAGAAACAGTTGAACCTATTTTATTAAGTGATTGTAAGGTATACATTTCAAGATAATTCTAGAATGCATTACATTGCAAAAATGCAGGAATCACCTTGGCAGAATAATAGTAAGATGTATTTCAAAAATTATAAAGTGATTTTCCTTCAAATTGCTTTATTCTAACCTTCCTGTAAACATATATGAAATGTATTACCTAAAAGTTTATTTTCCAAAGTTACTGAGTTGACACTTTACATAGTCTTAGACTTTGTGCCCCTCACATCACTCACATACTTTATTTATTTATTTACAGATTGAATGAATTGTGTTTTAGAATGATTTATTTTGGTTTCTGTTTTATTAGGTTGAATTAGAATTCAAAATTACTTGACATCGGCTTTCAGAATGTTTCATCTTTTGTTGCCACAAGCATGAGTCATTTTCAAAATAATTATCTCAATGGACTTTCTCAATCTTTAACTTCTCAATATCTAGTTATCTAAATTTGGGAAACATATGTATTACCACTAATAATGTTTGTAAAGCAAGCCTCAAATAATGTGTAACATATAAATTCAAAGTCAAATGTATTCTCGTTACAAATATATTTTATTTTAAAAGACTGTATCACCAATATTAACAGCTATTTTAACACAGTGACAAATGGACAGATAAATCAGATATTATAAATCAGTAGCATTAAATGTCTTTATAAAAGAAAAATTGAATTGAATATTCTCATAATGCTTTGTAGAAGATAGGCTTTGATATCTTAAACTTAGATGTATAATTTTCTGAAAGAGAAAGGTGATATTGCTGCTTTAAAATGCAATTTCAGGCAAAAAGGAAATTAGACACAGGATCATAATAAAGCTGAAGAAAATAGCAAAGATTTGAAGGCAAACAAATTCTTTATAACTGCACAGCAATTTGAATGGGATGGAGATTATAACAGAAATCAAGGTTTAAAGAGCATTAAGAAATAGATAGAAGACAATAATACCCATTTTCCGTCTCATTTTATTTTAACTGGACAAGGGCTTAAACTGGGGGAATTGGAAAAATAATTAGGATATTCCCATTTAATTGCCCTTGGTTGTTGAATTAACTGTATAATGGATGCACATAAAAATTCTGCTGCATTGAAACAACACCAGTATTATTTAGCCCAAAGTCTTAGTTTGAAAGGCTAATCAGCACCATATTACTAACCTGTAACACTTCAAACTCCAAGCCAACAATAGCTGAATATACAAGAAAAATCTACTAGAGCTGTGCCTAAGCATGAATGACGCTCCAAATCCTTGTTAAGGGAGGAGAAGGTTAAACTACATAAGTTTACTTAAGTCTGCTTACTCTTTAGAGTGATTGATTATAAAAGTGTGTTTCTAGTAGAGGAAATACCTTTCTAGATATCTTGTGATATAGCCAAATACCTTACCCTTGTATAGTTATATTGTTCTTCTTATTAATAAATACTATATTTTGTATAGTTTTCTCTTTTCTCTATAAATTGATGTATCTGAAGGCAAAAACTTATTACCTAATAAAAATATCACCATCTGGTGGTGACTCCTATAAACTGCAAACACGTAATCCCCGAGACTCCCAAATAGTATAAACACCTAATATATAATCCCTAAGACTTCTGAGAGTTGTGACTGACAGAGGCAACTCTTTGAAGATAGCAAATGGCACAATATTACTTAAAAATATAATAAAAGAGTCTTAGTTATGCATTTTTTGGAAGCTTTTCTTGATGTGGTTCTATAATATTGGATTTTACAAATCGATTTTCTCTTAATTTCTTATACTTTTCAGCTACCTTCATTCATTTCTTCATTCTAATATTTAATAAATGACTACTACATACTAAAAATTGTTCTAGATACTTGGTTTTATAACTTTTGAACAAAACTCAAACAAAACAAATATATGTTTTTACATTTACTGTGAGTTTGAGACAACCACAAAGTCAGAGAACACAGTCCACAAAAGATTGCTCTCACTCCTGACACAAATCGCAAATTCAAGGAATTCCCAAAACCACTGCTAGTTTCAATAATTCACTAGAAGGACTCACAGAATTCATAGAAAACTGTGTACTCATGGTTATGGTTTATTACAGCAAAAGGATACAGAATAAAATCAGCCTAGAGAAGAGGTCATAGAGCCAAGTCCAGGAAAAGTTGTAAATGTGGAACTTCTATGGTACTCTCCCCATGGAGTCATGGACGGCATTACTTTCTTTGGCGACGATGTGTGACACCTTGCACAGACTACTGCCAAGCAGAAAATCTCAACTGAACCTTGGTGTCCAGAGTCCTTCCTGGGGCTGCATCATGGTAGGAGCAAGGGTAAGCATGGTTGACTACTCACATGACTGATATCTCTTTCTGGCTCTCCAGGAGGCCAAGTTGATACAGAATGCCCAAAACTCCCCTCTCAAAAACACATTGTTACTATCTGCTGGTCCAAGGCCCCCAGACAAACAAAGATACTATTTTCGGCTATGACATTCCAAGGGCTTAGAAATTACCTCCCCCAAAGCCAAGGACAAAGGCCAAACCTCTCTTTGGATAGGTTAAGTTCTTTACTATATATTTACATATATACATATGGTAGTGATAAGTGTGTGGTACATATATATGTATGCTGGTATTAAGTGTGTTGACAGAAAATAGGGACCAGAGGTAACAATGGCCAAAGAATAAAATTAGAATAAAGGGACAAAGATGGGAAGAGTGCTTTTTTCAATAATTTAGTCAGAAAAGCCTTCACTGATAAAGTAACATTTCATCAGAGTCTCAAATAAAGTGAGGAAACATGCTATGTGATTATCTAGGGAAATCATAGTCCCAGCAAAGGGAACAGCAAGTATCCAGAGGTAGGAGTGTGCCTTTTGTAATCTGTGAAACCATTAAGGAGGTCAATGTGAATGCAGCTGAGTGAGAGAGGTAGAGAGTGGTTGGAGATAAAGGCAAACAGATAATGGCAGGAGGAAACTGGCGTTGCAGACCAGGTATGAACATCTAGTCTTGTTCTAAATGAAGTGAAAAACCATTGGAGGGTTCTAAGCAAAAAAGTGACATGATCTCATTTCAAAAATGATTGTCTATTGCAAGGGTCAAAGACTGTACAGACACAAAGACCACCACAGAAAGAACAGTTAGGCTATTTTAATAGTCCAGGCTAGAGATGATGTTGGTTAAGTTTAGGGTGGTAGTAGTCGGGATGGCGTCATAATTGTATTCTGATTCAATAAGTGGAGAGGATTTCCTTGGTAACATGAAATAAATTACACATTTTTTAAAAGCCTATCTATGAAGTCTGTAGCTCAAGGGAAAAACAATTATCTCATTTATTTTCTGTCAATACTCTGCAATATCTCAATGTTTCTCAACTCCTTTATGTATCACAGAGGCTAGAAGACAGAAAACTTTATTTCCAAGACCCTCTTTTCAGCAAAGTTCAGGTTTCGCATCTAAAAATGAGAGGCATTTGTACAAGATTTGGAAGGCAGAGAGCAGCAGCAGTTAAATGAATGTTCCTTATCAGTAGGGCCTTTCTTCTTTAAGATATGGTTAAGGGGCCTAGGTTCATGTAGTTTTACATTTTTAATGTACGGTTCTTATGATCATTATGCTCATCTGCATCAGCTGACAGATGGGAAAAGGACATGAAGGATTCTGCACTGGAGTGCTTAGTGTGACTGGCTTGGAAGAACTGCACCTCAGTCATTGCAGCTTCTGCTATTGGATAGAACTCAATACAGAACCACAGCTGGTTCCAGAGAAGACTAGGAAATATATCTAGCTGTGTACAGGAAGAAGAACCCAAAATATGGTGAAGAGCTAGCTAGCCTGTCTCTGTTACATGCCCTGTAATCAACTAGACAAGCACATACTATACCATAACAGAATGTAAATAGCGCTCCCTGCCCATTTTTATAAGCTGCAGAGGCAGAGGCACTGCACACGGTAATTGAACAATGATACATTTTCCCAACTTTGAATTGTATGGTCTTAACCCTGAATCTGTGACGTCAACACTCTAGTTCAGACTATACTGCTCCAAATGTATGTTAGTTTATACAATCTCTTTCATAGTTTAATATACAAAGAAGATCATATCTACTAGTCTTTCCTACAGTCTTGAAGTCTTAATTTCAAATACATAGAGAATACACATACACAAACATTCATACACACGCATAGAAACATACATTCCTCTCAAGAATACACAGTCACTTTCCGGAATTGAGCAGTCAAAGATCCAAATACAAAAAAACTTTGAACACAATCTTTTGCAATGTCATATAGAGCAGTTTAGATATCCGGAGGCATGTCGTTTTTGCAACACTTTGTTACAGAGGAGGATCTTTGCTCTACCTTCACATATGCATAGTCTCACTGGGTAATTTTTCAAGAATAAGGGAAAAAACATGCCTCAGAGGTAAATTGTATTCTCTACCATTTAGTAGAAATACAACTTCCAAAAACTTTCTTTTTTCTTTTTTTCTTTTTTTTCTTTTTTTTCTTGAGACAGAGTCTCCTTCTGTCGCTCTGGCTAGAGTGCAGGGGTGCGATCTCGGCTCACTGCAGCCTCTGCCTCCCAGGTTCAAGCAATTCTCCTGCCTCAGCCTCCTGAGTAGCTGGGATTACAGGCACCTGCTACCACACCCAGCTAATTTTTGGTAGAGACGGGGTTTTACTACGTTGTCCAGGCTGATCTTGAACTCCTTACCTCAAGTGATCCACCTGCCTCGGCCTCCCAAAGTGCTGGTATTACAGGCATGAGCCACCGTGCCCAGCCCCAGAAACTTTCTAATGTCAGGGTCAAAAAATATTAGAGTTTAGACAAAGCCATGGTTGCCTAGTTAGAGTGGCAAAGTTACATTATCTACTTGCTAACTGAAAACTTTAGGCCTTACATTTTCATTATCGTTTTTAAATTTAAAAAGTTCTGTTCATTAAATAAAATTTCTTAGCACTCTTTCACAATATTTTTTCCTAAGATCTAAGATTGCATGCTTAAATTGGGTGAGGAAAATCCACCAATTTAATGAGATTCTGTAGTTTTAAAAGGAAAATGTTATGAAAATCTCTCAAGAGGGTCTTTAATGTGGATCTTGAAATCCTATGACCTCACGAAGTCACAATTTTTGTTTTCCTTTTTGTGGGAAACAGATGGAATTAGTAGGCAGACATGGCATTTGTTCAAACAAATATCTGATTCACCTAGGATAGTGCTATTTTAGAATTGTTTTCCTTCCATCCCACATGCTCTTCCTCTTCTTCCTTTTTTTTTTTTTTTTTCTGAGACAAGAGTCCTGCTCTGTTCTCCAGGCTGGAGTGCAGTGGCATGAATGCACTCACTGCAGCCTCGATCTCCTGGGCTCGAGCTATTCTCCCACCTCAGCCTCCCAAGTAGCTGGGACCACAAGCTTTCCACCACGATGCCTGGCTAATTTTTGATTTTTTGTAGAGCAGGGTCTCCCTATGTTGCCCAGGCTGGTCTCTAATTCCTGCATCCTGCTCTTCTAATGTGACTTTGGCTCTACTCCCACGGTGTGCTAAGGCCCTAGCCACCCTTAAACCTAAGTGGACATCTGTAACTGCCTCAACTAGTAAAACACAGTGGAAGTTATGCTATGTGACATTGGAGACTAGTTCATAAAGATGTCAAATGTCATGTACTTCCAACTTGCTTGGTGACATTTGCTCTTGAATCCAGCTGCGATGCTGTGAGGAGGCTCAAACTAGGCCACACAGAGAAACCAAATGGAGAGGCTATGTGTAGGCGTTCCAGCCCATAGCCAGACTTTATATTCTATAGAAGGGTAGGGTCACTTTTATCTTCATGTCCCTATCCCCACCTCCAAGTGAAAGTAGAAGTTAAAGATTTCATTTTCCAAGAACACTGAAGAAAATCTCCTTCACCCCCATGCCTTTGTGAATATTACACCTATGAATAAGTTATATAAGAGTTGTTTCCCAGGGTACAGATAAAAAAAAAAGATGAAGAAGAAAAGATTCCCTGAAACTGAGAAAATTGTGACAGTTTCCAGTGGTGGTGTGGCTCTGTGTGGCTCACCTTTGCTGCATTCCAGATGCAATGGCAGGTGTGATAGGGAGAACAGAAGCTGGACACCAAATGCTGTGGGTTTGAAAGCAGTGGCTATGCATTCTGTGGCCCAGGCCACCATTAATGAAGAGGACATTTGAGAGAGACATCTTTGTTGCCTGCCCAAAGAACAGCACACAACAGAGGACCAGTAAGAGAAACAATGGCAATTATAATGAACCATTCTGTTTGTTTTCTGGCATTAGGTAATGTAAAAATTTTCGCAGTTCTGATCAAGGCAGGGAAAAAAGAAAAAGCAGGTAACAACTGACATTTTCCTTCCCATCAATATCTTTCAGGTCTTTCGTTGAAAATCTTCCTTTTGTGCAGATTTTTACTACAGTGACATTTGTACTAAAGTGTTTGCCTAAAGGAATAGGCTCAAGCAATACCTTAAATACTTCATGCTGAAGAAGTATGGAAAACATAGTAATTTTACATTTATAACTAAGAATCTACTTAGGATCAGCAAACATGAGGCGAAGGGCAGTAAAACAATTTATCAGAAAATAGAGATAACACTAACTTTCTCTGGGGCTGTCATGAGGATTGTGTGAAATGAGATAAGGAATTGTATTACTTTTCTAGTGTAGCCATAAGAAATTACTACAGTCTTAACTAACACAAATTTACTATCTTACAGTTCTGTAGCATAATGTTTTGACAAGAGTCTTCACTGGGCTAAAATCAAGGGGTCAATATGGTTGTATTTCTTTTTATTTATTTATTTTTCTTCCTGTTAGATGAGCAATGTGCCGATGTCATAACAAGGTTCGAGGGTGGCACATCTCACACATGTGCACGAATACCCAATCATCATGCTCATGAACTGCAAAAGGATCAGTATGGTTGTATTTCTTTCTGGAAGCCCTGGGGGAGAATCTATTTTCTTTCCAGTTTCTAGAGGCTGCCTGAATTCTTTTGCTTGTGACCCCTTCCTCCATCTTCAAGGCCAGCAACAGCTAGTCAAATCCTTATGTCACATCACTATGACCTTCTGTTCTACCACCCTCTTTCACTTTTAAGGACCCTTATGATTACATAGGGCTCACCCAGATAATTCAGGATATCTTCCTGTTTTAAAGTCAGCTGCATTCATCAGGTTTCCCAGAGAAACAAAACTAATAGGACAGATATAGATACACAGAAACTGAGCTATATCATGAGAGATTGGATCACATGATTATGGAGACTGAGAAGTCCCACAATATACTTTCTATAAGCTGGAGACCTAGGAAAGCTGGTGGTGTAGTTCTAATCCAAGCCTAAAGGCTTGAGAACCAACAGTGCTGATGTCCAAGAACAGGAGATGGATGTCATAGCTCAAGAGGAGAGAGTAAATTAGCCTTCCACCTTTTCATTCTACTTGGGCCCTTAATGGATTGGATGAAGCACACTTACATTGATGAAGACGATCTTCTTTAGTCAGTCTATGAATTCAAATGCTAATCCCTTCCAGAAACACCCTCACAGACCTACCTAGAAATAATGTTTTACTGGCTCTCTGAGCATCCCTTAGCCTAATTAAGTTGACATATAAAATTAATTATCACATCGGCTGATTAGCAACCTTACTTTGCCCTGGCCATGTAATATATTCACAGTTTCCAGGGAGTTTCCATGAACATCTCAGCCAGGCACAGTTGCTCACACCTGTAATCTCAGCACTTTGGGAGGTTGAGGTGGGAGGATCACTTGATCCCAGAAGTTCAAGACCAGCCTGGGCAACATAGCAATACCTCATCTCTACAGATAATAATAATAAAAAAAATAGCCAGGCATGGTGGTGTACACCTGCAGTCCTAGCTACTTGGAAAGCTGAGGTGAGAGGATTGCTTGAGTCTGGGAGGTCGAGGCTGTAATGAGCCATGGTCATGCAACTGCACTCCATCCTGTGCAACAGAGTGAGAGCCCACCTCAAAAAAAAAAAAAAAAAAAAAAGACAAGGACATCTTTGGGGCCATTATTCTGCCACAAATGCCTGCCACTTAGTCTAATACCTAGCAAATGCTAAGTGACAAATAAACACTAATTCTCTTCCCCTCTGACTCTCCATATTAGTCTGTTTGTGTTGTCATAACAAAACGCCACAGCCTGGGCAGCTAAAACAACAGAAATGTGTTTCTTAAAGTCTGGAAACTAGGAAGTCCAAGATCAAGGTGCCAGCTAATCCAGTTCCTAATGAGAGCTGTCAGCGAAGAGTCAAACTCTAAAACATTTGAAGAGATTTATTCTGTGCCAGATGCTAATGTCCATGGCCCATGACACAGTCCCAGGAGATACTGAGAACATGTATCCAAGGTGGTCAGGGTACAGCTTTGTTCTATATATTTTAGGGAGACATAAAACATCAATCAATACATGTAAGATGCACATTGATTCCATCTGGAAAGGTGGGACAACTCAAAGGAGGAGGGAGTTTTCCAGGTCACAGGTGAATTCAAAGATTTCCTGATTGATTGAAAGAGTTTATCTAAACACCTGGAAACAACAGAAGGGACTGTCTGGGTTAAGATAAGGAGTTGTGAAGACCAAGGTTCTTATTATGCTGATAAGACCTCCAAGGTTGCAGGCTTCAGAAAGAATAGATTGTAAATATTTCTTATTCAACTTAAAAAGGTTCCAGACTCTTAGTTAATCCTCTTCTGGATCATGGAGAAGAAATGGAAAGGGGGAAGGAGGTTCTCTACAGAATGTAGATTTTCCCCATGAGAGACAGCTTTGAAGGGCCATTTCAAAATATGTCAAATAAATATATTTTGGGGTAAAATGCTTTCTTTCAGGGCCTACTACTATGTTGACATCATATTGCTACAAAGAGTCTGTTCTGTCAGTCTTAAGGTCTCTGCTTCAATGTTAATACTGGTCAGCTGTACCTGATTCCAAAGGAAGGAAGGTATAATGAGGCATGTCCAACCTCCCATTCCCATCATGGCCTGACCAAGTCAGGTTTACTTTAGGATGCTTTTGGCTTAGAGGACGGGTCCATTCAGTTGGTTGGGAGGGCTTCCAATTTTATTTTGGGGCAATGTGCGGTGGCTCACACATGTAATCCCAGCACTTTGGGAGGCCGAGGCAGGAGGATTGCTTACACCCAGGAGTTCAAGGCCAGACCAGCCAAAATAGGAAGACCCCATCTCTACCAATCTTTTTTTTTAATTAGCTGGGTGCGGCAGTACGCGTCTATGGTCCCAGCTACTTTAGGGGGCTAAGGTGGGAGGATCACTTGAACCAGGGATGTTGGGGCTGCAGTGAGCCATGACTGTGCCACTGCACTCCATCCTGGGTAACAGAGTGAGACTCCATCTCAAAAAAAAAAAATGTATTTTTGGTTTACAGAGCTATTCCTGGAGCATGGATGGCTGCTGTTTTGTCCTCACATGGCCTTTCGTCTGAGAGGGAGGAACAAGCTCTCTGATGTCTCTTTTTAAAGGGCACTAAACCTATTATCAGGATCTCACCTTTATGACCTCATTTTGCTTTAATTACATTTTTTAGAGGCCTCTTCTACAGCCATATTGGGAGTTAGGGCTTCATCATGAATTTTGCATGAACACAAAGATTTAGCCCATAACACTCTCACCATTTTCTTCCCACTTTGCCCCTATCATCTTCAGTATGCCTACTCAATCTCATCTCTTAGACAGTTGACATATTTTTCACATCAGGAGTGCCCAATTGGGATGCTTTTATAGAAACTATTCATTCCTACGGCCTTAATCACATGTGCCAAGGACTCCCAAAACATATAATTTCAGTCTACTCTCTTTGTACTTTTAACGTTTCAACTTTTCTTTTTTCTTTTTTTTTTTTGATGGAGTCTAGCTCTGTTGCCCAGGCTGGAGTGCAATGGGACAATCTTGGCTCACTGCAACCTCCATCTCCTGGGTTCAAGTGATTCTCCTGCCTCAGCCTCCTGAGTAGCTGGGATTACAGGCATGCACCACCATGCACAGCTAATTTTTGTATTTTTAGTAGAGACGGTTTCACCATGTTGGCCAGGCTGGTCTCAAACTCCTGGCCTCAAGTTATCTGCCCACCTTGGCCTCCCAAAGTACTGGGATCACAGGTGTGAGCCACCACACCTGGCCTCTGTGCTTTTAACTCTTACAGCCTGCTTTCTAGATACTCCATTTGTATGTTTCATAAGTTCCTCAAAGTCCACATGTAAAAATAAAACACATTAACTTGCCCTGCCCCTCACCCCCAAAATGTTCCTTGTCCTGTGTTTCTCATCTCAGGATACAATGTGCCTCCCCATGGGTTAATAATTCAAATCTTAAACTTGGAGTCGTTTAACCCTTCCAATTCTCCACATTCAATGAATCATCAAATTTAAGTAATTTTATCTTCTAATGTCTCCTGATTCCAATTCTTTCCACATGTAATGCCCTGTCATCCCATTTTGCCTCCCCTACATCACATTAACTAGTTTCCCTGTATCCACTCTTGTCTCCGCTATTTATTTCCAATTGAAGCAGTCAAAATAACCACTGCTCTGCATAAACATATCACTGTTCTTTAAGTGGCACATAAGTTTTCCATAATCAGACCCCTATCTACCTCTTTGGCCTTCCCCATCAGGCTTTAAGATTCAGGGTAGTTGTTTTAAGTTCTCCGATGTCTCACATCATTATCTGTCTTTACACATTGTTCCTTTCACCTGCCATACTTTTCTTCTGCCCATTAGTCTGGCAAAAGTCTACTTATCTCAAAAGTTGTTGCATAACTCACCTAACTCCAAAATTAAATTCTTTTGCTGTAGTATCTCTTGGCTCTTAGGGAGGAAATACTTTTTGTCTACTTTCTTAGATTCAGTGTTTGCAGGCCCCAGACTTAAAGTGACAAAACAGATTAGCAAAAGAAAAGACAGACTTAACCACATACATAATAGAGTTCACAGAAAAAGGTGATTCAGGGAGGTAGAGTTCTGACTTATCTACCATCTTATAAAGGGAAGGAAAGGGGAAAACAGCACGTATGGAAAAAACAAATGACTTTTAGTAAAAATAAATGACACCTTAAAACAGATGCCAGATATGATAGCTTTGTGACAATGTCTATTCAAGTGTGTTGCCAGCTTCTAACCTCCAGTGATAAGAGTCAGTCTTCCTGGGTTTCCCTCCCAGGGAGGAGCTTGATTTGAATTCCTCCGTGTGGTTCTGCATTTAGACAGGTAGATTTCAGAAACTCAAATGTCTTTGCTCAAAATAATTTTTAGGCCACAATGGTGTATTGTAGACCCCTTCCTGGCATACAGCATTTCCCTTTCTTAATTCACTGCACAAAGATAGCCTTTGTCTTTCCCTTAAGACTGTAGGCAAATAAAAGCTCATGCCATACTTGCTTTGTTCAGTGAGTATTCCCAGCACCTTTACATCAGTTAACTGTAACATGAGCTGGATATCTCCTGGTGTACATCCAAGCCTGTGTGGCCCAATTACTTGATTATTCAAGAACAGCTTGTACAAAACACTCAGTGTGCTGGTTAATAAACAGTATGTGGCTTCATATGAACACATGAATCTTCAAAGTAGTTTATTTACATTGCCTAAGAGCTCTGCACCGAATTTGGGTAGACACGCTCATCTTAACACTATTGGATAAACGTACTAAATAGTGACAACACTTTCAAGGAGGTAAGGGGATTTTAAATTACATATTTGAATAGTTGTCAGGCTGTTTTCAAGACTAGAAGAACTCATTTTTTAGAGACTTTTCTTTAGAAGACGGCGAATTGATCCAAGGGTTCTTTTGTTTCAATCAACGTTTACTACCCTAGGACCTAAGTGCAAAAAAACTGCGGATTTACCAGGAATAAGAAAGTAAAAACCAAAAGCTATTGGCTCACTTGCTGGGCCTAGGGAAAGAAAATCTACGAGCCTTTGGCTGGCTGTTGCTCCAGAGGTACAAAGATAAACAACTCGGGGGCTCAGACAGAACCTGATCCCTGCCACCCTCCAGACCACCGGGGTCGTCCTCCCGTGACGTCACCAGAAACCACTGCTTGTGACGCTAAATGGCCCGCCCTCTTGTGCGGTGCTACGGAAGCAAAACGGAAGTGGGCGCACAGTGGCTTCCGGGCCCGGACGCCATTTCCAGCGGTTGCTGGTTCTGACGGGTTGTAGTCTGCCAGGACAATGAGTTATGACTACCATCAGAACTGGGGCCGTGATGGGGGTCCCCGCAGCTCCGGTGGGGGCTATGGAGGGGGGCCAGCAGGGGGTCATGGAGGTAACCGAGGCTCCGGAGGAGGCGGCGGCGGCGGAGGGGGTGGTCGAGGCGGCAGGGGCCGGCATCCCGGGCACCTGAAAGGCCGCGAAATCGGCATGTGGTACGCGAAAAAACAGGGGCAGAAGAACAAGGAAGCGGAGAGGCAAGAGGTAATCTCGGATTCAGTAGTGGAGAGGATGAGGCAGCACAGGTTTTCTTCTCTCTCCCGCTGCCCCCTTTTTCTTGGTTTTGTTTCTTAAGTGATGCACGTGTTTTGTGAAATGTAAATGAGGCGCAAATATATTATGCTGGCGCTCCCCGTAGCGGGTGTACTGCGTAACATTAGCCATGCTCATCTGACCAAAAACAGGCAGGATTTATGCAGGCTGAATATATACTTTGCTTAAAGGACTTGAGAACTGTGACAAAGCAAATGTTAAGTTCACGTTCCAACCGAAATTAACTTTATTAGGAGTGTCGTTGTCGTATCTCTGGCCGTCCTTTCCCTTAGAATAATAATTGTCACTTTAAGGTCTTTGCCTGGTGAAGAAGCACATAGCGACCTTTCTACATTTGAGATAGGTTTGCGCGGAACAAAAGCAGGCAGACACTGTTTTGGATGTGGATCATTCAGAAAAATAGTCCAGCTTTTATTATTAGTGTTAAAATTATCTGCAAACCTAGGTTTTTGTTTTTTATGTTGGGGTGGAGAAATTTCTATTGATGAGCAGATTCTCTTTGAAAAGGAAAATGAAAGGAATCTCCAGAGATGATTTGGCTTACTCTCCTCTCTTCAGGTGATTGTCAGGTTGATTTGTGTCTTAAAGATCTGTAGTAAGGGAAACAAAGTTCTCCGAGTGACTAGTAAATAAAATTCTAATAAAAAATAATTTTTATCATTAAGCAGGAACTTTCTTAGTATAGGCCTTTGGTGACTTTTTAAAAGCACCTTATAAAATGTATTATAGAGTGTAATTAGATCATCATTTAGGCAACTTTTTTTTTTTTTAAGACAGGGTCTCACTCTGTCGCCCAGGCTGGAGTGCAGTGGCACGATCTTAGCTCACTGCAACCTCCGCCTCCCAAGTTCAAGCGATTCTCCTGCTTCAGCCTCCCGAGTAGCTGGGATTACAGGCGTCCGCCACCACCTCCGGCTAATTTTTGTATTTTTAGTAGAGACGGGGTTTCACCATGTTGGCCAGGTTGGTCTCGAACTCCTGACCTCAGGTGATCCACCCAACTCGGCCTCCCAAAGTGCTGGGATTACAGGCGTGAGCCACCACGCCAGGCCTAGACTACTATTTTTAAACCGTTCCATTTCTTTTTATTTCTTTTAACCATGTCATGTTCATTCAGGTGTTTTGGGGGCCTTATCCATTTATCTTCATAATTTAAACTTTTCTTTAAAAAACAAATCCATTTCTTTTACAGCCCCAAATTAACTTTTTCGTTGGGCATACTGGCTTGAAAATCAGGATACGGACGTCTAAGTAACTTTACAACTTTTATTTATTAAGGCTCTGTTTGAAACAAGGTTTTATGCATATTGCTCCAGGGACTTGAAGAAATGTGGTATTCAAAGAGCTTACAGTCTAGCTGAGAAAATAATACCTAAACAGATGAAAAGTTAAATAAGTCAGGAAAAAATGTTCATTATTGTTTCCACATGAAGGGTATAGCCAGTTGTGCAGTGGATGTTATGAATGGAACTTTTCATTTCTACTTGCGTTCCCATCCTCCTTTTAGTGGTGACACGACCATTTATTCACTTGGCAAGGCCAAATGAGATTTATCTTTGCTTCTTCCCCTTCATTTCAGCAAATCTCTGCCTTGTTAATATATCCCAATCTAACCACTTACCTCCAGAATAGTTACCATAGATCAAGCCACTGTTTGTTTTCTGTTCTTGCCTTCTAACTAGTCATCTAGCTTCCATTCTTGCTCTGCATTGTCTGTGCTTTACAGAGCCGCCTATGGTGATCTTTTAAAAGGAAAAATTAGATCATTTTATTACCTAATTCACAACTTCAGATTGGAAGTCATGTCACTTCTGTCTCAGTCTGATATATTTCAGTTGCATCTTGACATGTTCTCTGGAAATCTTGGTAATACGGCTTCAACGTAACAGGTTTACCGCTGTGCACATTTCTCTGAGCCCATGTCTCCAGTCTGATATAATTATAGTTTTTTTAGGCATACTTTATTTTTACTTTTCATTACAGTGTCATACTGTTCTCCTGTCCAAAATGTACCTTTCTTTCTTGTTTAAATAGGAGTATTTTTCAATGGGCTCGTCCCAGCTCTTCTTTGACCACCTTTAGCTTGATATCATTGTTTCCCAGTCAGAATTTCGGTAGCTTTCACTTTTAAAGTCATGTCATGTGTTTTCAAAATGAAGACTTTTTTTTTTTTTTTTTGAGTTGGAGTCTCACTCTGTTGCCCAGTCTGGAGTGCAGTGGTGTGATCTCGGCTCACTGCACCCTCTGCTTCCTGAGTAGCTGAGATTACGGGTGTGCACCACCACACTTGGCTAATTTTTGTATTTTTAGAAGAGACAGGGTTTTGCCATGTTGGCCAGGCTGGTCTTGAGCTCCTGACCTCAGGTGATCCACCAGCCCTGGCCTCCCAAAGTGCTGGGATTACAGGCGTGAGCCATGGCGCCTGGCTGAAAATGAATGCATTCTAATGATGCATTCTTGAACAAATGTTCTTTCAACAAATATTTATTGAGGACATTATTTTTGTGACAGTATCTTAAGCACTGTATTAATTAATAAAATAGATATAGGCTCTACAGAGATTGTGGTGTGTTTGGAGCGATAAATAGAATACAGTATTAAGGTATTAGAGAATATGGGCTATCACCTAACTCAGGGCAAGGTATTTTAGAAGATTTTTCAGGGACAGTAACCCTTAAGTTGAAACTTGAAAGATAACAAAGTGAATGTACGTGTGTGTGTTTGAAGTTTGGGGTTTGGAAAAGATTCCAGGCAAAGGCAGTAGCATGTGCCATAACATAGAGATCAAGGAAGCACATTTTCAGTTCGAGAAACTGTAAAAGATAAGAACATGGATGTGGAGTGTATTGAGATGAGGTTAGGGCAGTCAATTTCAAACTTGTTGGCCACTTTGCCCAAAAAGGAATGTATTTGAATTTACAACCCAGTACACACATATGTATAACTAGATGAAAAGTTTTGTAAAATAATATTTAATTATCTGCACATTGCTTTGAGGTTTTTTTGCTTTTGAACTTCTCTGTTCTCTTTTTATTAATGCTGGTCATGATCCTTTAATATAATTTCAGAAACAGCAATTTGAAAATCTCTGGGCTAGAAAAATACGCGGGGCCTTGAGATACATTGAGTCTTTCTAAGGACTGTAGCAAGTCATTAAAACATTTTAAACAAAGAATGAAATGACTGGATTTTAAATGTTTAAATTCACTCTGGTAGCAGTATAAGGAATGGATTGAAGAGAGGTAATCCTGGTTCAGGGGGACCAGTGAAGTAGCCCTTGCAGTAACTAAGGTGAGAAATGACAGCTTGAATTAGCACGTTGGCAGTGGAGATGGAGGGGAGTGGACAGATTAAAGTGATTTAGGAGGTAGACTCAAAATGATTTTGTGATGTATTTTATCTGAAGGGACGAGTACAGTGTTAATGATGACTCTTTTATGCCTATCTGTAAGGATCAGGCTTGTTGGAAGAAGGCTCAGCTATGGACACTATGAGTTTGATATTGTTATAGGGCATACAAATGAGGATTTGCAGGAGGGAGAGGGCTGTGTAGATCTGATGCCTAGAAAAATCTAGACTGGAGATAAGTATTTGACAGTTAATGGGCTCATGGGTAGTAGTTGGAGTGTGGGAGTGAACAGTCAGAAATAGAGTGGGCCCAGCCTGAATTCTATAGACCATTGCTTCTCAGACTTGAATGTGCATAGGAATCACCTGACATCTTGTTAAAATGTAGGACACTGGTGGGATCAGAGATTCGACTTTTGTTACAGGCTCCCAGGTGATGCCAGTGTTGCTGGTCTGTAGATCACTCAGGCTGTCAAATACGGAAAATGAAAATTTAAGGACAGGCTGAGGAAAAGAAGGTTACAAAATAATCTAGGAAAGATCAGCTAGAGAAGAGAAAAATAAGGTGTGTGTTGTTTTGAAATCTAAGAGTAGTGTTTAAAGGAGAGAAGAGCGTATCAACAAGAAGTAATTGATAGTGGCAAGCATGCACAAATGATGTAAGAGCAGAGAATGTCTATTGGATTTATCAACAAGGTCGTTGATGATCTTAATGGGAGTCCTTTCTGTGGCATTGTGGAAGTAAAAGCCAGATTGCGGTAGGGTGGCAAGTGAAACAGAGATTCAGAAGTGGAACATTTTCCAGTAGTTTTGCTGTGAAGATGAGGAAGAAAAATAGTGCCGTAGCTGATAGGGGTAGGGGAATTCACGAGAGGGTTTTTTGTTTTTAAGGTGAAGAGATTTGACCATGTTCATGCCCTGAGGGAAGCACCCAGTGAAGAGGAAATCAAAGTGGGCAAATCAAAGTGGGCCAAATTATGCTGCAGTAATAACCAACCCCCAAATCTTAATGGTTTATAACAAGCAAGGTTTGATTCTCTACCACATTACTAAAAGAAGCAAACCAGAATATCGGTTGACTGCCTAATGTCTACTGGAGAGGTTAGAAATTTAGGAAAGCAAGGTAAATTTCAGTGAAGGAGGTGGCCCTGAGGACATGAAAGGAACTGGACTGCAGAGCTCAGGTTGAGGGGTTAGCCTTTAAAATGCACTTCTTTTATAACAAGAAAGAAAAGAGAAAAGGATAAATTCTGATACAGGCGGGTTTAGGTTTGGTGATAACCAACTGAGGACCTTTTCTTAGGGCTTTTGTTTTGTGAAAAACTGCGTGTGAATGCTGAGGGCAAACAAAAGGGTGGTATTGGCCTGTTACAGAGAATGGGGAGACAGTGTGAAGTAGTTGCAGATAATTAGAAAGCTGATAACATAAATTTGATGGACATCATTTAGGGTTTCTTGCCAGGAACTGAAAACTAGAAGCAGGGTATTTGAGAATGTCCAAGAAAGTGGGAAATAATCAAAATTCTATGATAAAAGAAAATAGTCATGAAAAAAATGTGTTTTGAGATTCTCCAGGCAAGGAGTGAAATAAAGTGAAGCGTGGTAGAACTAGAAGAAGGTTGTTGAGGGGGAGAGAGGCATCCTACAAAAAGGCAAGATCCAAGTTTGGAATTAAGGTATGTTCTCTGCTACCTGCAGCATCCAGAAACTCATTGTGGGGAGAACATCATTAAAAATACAAATGTTTTTATTTAGAGTGTAAATTACATTTTCAAGGGCTAATCATACATGCTCATTGTAAAAGATTCAGCTGTTCATTCCTTCCATTGACAGACTTCTCTGGGGCACATACCATGTACCAGAATTATATCTGGCAGAGACACTGCAAGAAGTATAGGATATGGAGAGTGAATAACCTCTTTTCAAATTAATAGTAATAAAAACAAGATCCTACTACACAACTGACTTATTTAATACTTTGGTCATCTTTCCTGTTTATATACTTGCAGAAAGATCTACCCACTGTTAACCACTGGGTGTACTACAATTCAACTAATTCCTTATTGATTAGCAGATGCTTACTTGGTACATATGCATTGTGTAAGGTATCTTAAAGTCTACCAACTGATGTTGACTTTTTAATGAAAATGAATTTTGTTGTGATAGTTTGGACTGGAAGATTGTGTAGATCTGTTTATTTTCAGTAGACTGTTATGTTATCCAGTAATTCACCTTTTCCGGGGGCGTGAAATCTCATAAAATTAGAATAATCTTTTGTGCTGTTACGGGCAGGAAGTGGGCAATGTATTGTGAAATGTCAATCTAGGAAATTGTTTACTAAACAAAATATAGAGTAATGAGTTAACATGGAAAAGTGAGAACTGTAGGAATAGCAGATATAGGTTATATTCTAACTAAACAGATACATCAAAAAACCTTAAGAGGACTTTTAGTAGAGACATTTTATGTCCTGACAACTGAAATTAGCCACTCATTTTCACTTCAAAAAAGGAGGTAACATATAGTTCATTTGCTTTGCTTCTTCAGGTTTGTTGTTTTATCACTGATTTCTCATATTTATTACATTAGGTTATCCTCCTACCCATGTAAACTTATTTGAGCTTTCACAAAGCATGTAATACTGATTAGAATTAGAATGTCTTACAAAACCCTGTCTCTTGTCTTAAAGATGCTTATGTCTTGTTCTCCTGGGACACATACTCCTCTACCCACCCTGGGTTTTCAAACTTTATGTTAAACTTTGTTGTGACCAGCTATTTTGGTGTTTGTTTAATTGGGATAGAATACAGTGAAGAGAAGATAAGAGTTGCACTGTACAGAGTAAGGGAAGTATTTTGTGAAATTACTTGTATATGTGTGTACTGGGTCATTAGTTTTACTGTGGATTGCTATAAAAAATAAACAATTGAAATCTATTGCTCTAGATTTTACAGTATTTTACACATTGCTGTCTGCTTTCATCAGTCTCCTTACCCTAGCTCCTGCTTCCCTCTTTTTTCCCCAAAAATCAAAACCAAACCTCAAAAACCAAAAATACCTTGAAGATCATTCCCAACTGCCTAGTTGTTGGATACAGTAGTAATTTTTTCAGTTCTCTGCCTTACTTACGTCCATTTTATACTTCTGAGTCCTTTTTTAACACCTTTCTTCACTTCATAGGAGTGGTTTTCTCACTGTGTGCTCCTAGTCTTTTGTTTGTTCTCTTGATTACTCCTCTGACTTATTTTCTTGCCTTGGCCCCGTGAATGCCAGACTTGGTCATCCGTCTGTCCTCATCTTTGGAGGTGGTATTATTTGTAAATTAAGAGAATTCCTGTGTCTCTGTGATTTCAACTTTGCAGAACACTCCAAAATTTCTATCATAACTCTAAAAACAAAACCTCTCAGAGATCAATTTCCATATATTCATCTACCTAGTCATTATTACAAGTCGGGAAATTTCATCTTTGTTCTTAATTGCCTAAAATCCAAACTTAGCATCCTATTGTGACCTCCATCACCACCACATGTACACAAAAATGTACAGTAACACAGAGCAGCTTCCTTTTAATGATTCATCTTACTGCTGCTCTCTCAGGATCCACCCTTGAATTTGAAAACAGTTCTTTGATTCTTTCTTCCTTTTTGTCTCTCCCCAACTTCCACCAAATAGTCATTAAGTCCTGTGGTTTCTTTCTTTCGATTTTTGACTGTTTTCTTTCCATTTATACTTTTACCTTCCTCCTCCTTTGGTTCTTTAACCTAACACACTCTAATTTTCACCACTCCGCGTGTGTTTCCTTTTGCCTGTGGATTTATATGCACGTTAGAACCTAAGGTTTGTAGTCCCATAAATTTTGAAGAATCTGTTTTTCAACTTTTCAACTTACTATATCTAAATATAAAAGTCTCCAAAGAATTGGGTTTTGGCATTCATTCTCTTTTTTTTTTTTTCACCTTGGACATTTCTTAGATGCGTAAAGTTTCTGCAAAGTTTCATAGTTCACCAAGGACCTTTATATTTGTCCAGTCTGTTGTGTTTTATTCTCATTCTTTGAAGCAACTGCGTCATTTGCCACATTGGATCACCTTATAAGCACTGATGAATTTTATTTACTCCTTCTGAGCTCAGCCTTACTTACCAATTTATTCTTCTGTTTAGTGTAAGAACTTTCAAATGTTCATTACAACCAAACTATTTCCAGTTTTCAACTTTTTTCGTAAACCATTTGAGTTTTAATAACTTTGAAATTTTAAGATAAGGAGAAATTCATAATAATTAGTATGTGAGGGTTTGGGGTAAGAGAACCAGAGTTGTAGGAAGAGACATAAATGAGCTTTCTTTGCCAATCATATTAGGGCTAATTTTATAAATGCTTGTTGGAAAAGGTCTAGAAGGATATGTACGAAAATTTTAACAATTAATTAGGTCTAGGAAGGGGGGTATTGGGCTAGAGGACACCTGTGGATAACTTTCTTTTATATGTATTTGTTGAACATATATTACTTAGCCTTTATTTTCTTCAGTATCAAATAATTTTTGCATATGCTTTCTTATGTTGACAAGGATGCTTTTTTCTTTGCACAAACTAGAGAGCTGTAGTACACATGGATGAACGACGAGAAGAACAAATTGTACAGTTACTGAATTCTGTTCAAGCGAAGAATGATAAAGAGTCAGAAGCACAGATATCCTGGTTTGCTCCTGAGGATCATGGGTACGACAAGAAATATTTTTTTAAAGAATAGGCAAAGAGTAACACTTTAATAATAAAAATAACATCTTTATTTTCTTCGATAAGTGAATTTTAACCTTTACGTACTTTTTTTCCTTATGTAGATTAAACAGATTTAGAAAATGACTTTTAAAAATTTAGATGGCATGTTTCCATAGGAAAGCTAAATGGTATGAATAATAGTGTATCTGGATATGAGATGTATTAAGTTGTTATTTATTGTTCTCCCTACCTGTCCTCTTTGTATTTATGAAATTATTCTGTCTGGGAGATCTGCAAGAAGTGAAATTGCTACCGTTTTAGAAAGATTACAAGAACTGTATCATTTAGAGGAAAAATTAGTACAAGTATTTCAAAGACTGTGTATTGTAGCATCCTATTTGTAGCTCAGAAAGGGTGGCAAGAAAAAAAGATGTTGTGACATAAAACAAGTTCGAGAAATCCAGAAAAAGAGAAACACTGTAAGTAACCGCAGTGAAGGAATGACTATTCTGTGGATTTTTATTTTTAACTATCACAAGGAATAACTTAATCTGGCAATATCTATTTAAAGGGAAGAAAAATTTGAATTTATTATAAGAATCTAAGTATATTTTCATAATTACTGTACTAAGAGAAAAGAAAAGCTTTGGATTTGGATGACTTTGAAATATTTCAACAGCGTATTGTTTTGTTTTGTTTTGTTCCAGTGTTTGAGTGGCTCATCTGACCTTTCTTCCTTTCTTATTTTGTCAAAACAGATACGGTACTGAAGTTTCTACTAAGAACACACCATGCTCAGAGAACAAACTTGACATCCAGGAAAAGAAGTTGATAAATCAAGAAAAAAAAATGTTTAGAATCAGGAACAGATCATATATTGACCGAGATTCTGAGTATCTCTTGCAAGAAAATGAACCAGATGGAACTTTAGACCAAAAATTATTGGAAGATTTACAAAAGAAAAAAAATGACCTTCGGTATATTGAAATGCAGGTAGTAGAAAGATGTCAAAAAATATTTTGTCATTTTTTTCTTACACTTTATAAAAATGTATGTATGGTTAGAGGTAGCTGCATGGCATAGATCAGTGAGATCCTCAACAAGACATCCCTGTGGGAATTAATTTCTTTTCGAATGGTAGAGAAAAGCAGTGGGAATGGAAGTTACACATAACCTACAGTATCCTATCTCATCCACAGAAGCTTATGTGGTGAGAAGAAATGTTTGAGAAATGCTAGTGCCAATGAAAAAAAAACTTACTCTTCAGCTTTTCTAGGCCAGTTTAGTGAGGTGCCATGTGCAGTAAAGGCAGTTAAAATTGTAAAGCTTGTTCCAGATTACTTAATACATCTTCTTTTTATAGATGATAAAATTAAATATTTCAAAAATTATGTGATGTGCTTTGTTCACTAACATTTTAAATACAGGACTATCACAACACCTGAGATCTCCTGAATTCTGATATTTTCTTTCTATGCTAGGCAAGATATTTTAAGGTCCCTTTCAGTTAAAACATAAAATTGTGTGATTTGTGGGTGTTCTAGAGATGTAATAAAGTGGTCTCATGTATGTATGTATATGTTTAAGAGAAATTACTGAGGAAACTCTGAGGGCCATATCTTTAATATGTAAATACATACTGCTGTCTTTGATAAAGGAAGGATATAGCACCTCCTATAGGAAAGAAAGGATCCCTTGGCTCACTGATGAAAGCTGAATTTCCTTAATAGGAAAGAAAGGATCCATTGACTGTTACTGATGACAGTTGGATTTCCGTATTAGAATAGATAAGCTGAGGTTGTCCAGGGCCAAATTGTGTAGCTCTTTGATGCCTGTTGGGTAAAAATGTGATTTGAAAATGGAGGAAATTTCAGGATGAATTAATTGAGAATCTTCTGGTTGAGAAGAGCTGCTTTAACAGCCTTAACAGGAGGAATTAGTGTCTTTCTCTTTGCTGTATATGATGGACAGAACTCATATACTAAAGATGGGTGATTGATCTAGTTCAGAGAAAGAAAAATGTGTAAAACATTTAAAAAGTTGGTGGTCTTCCTATTTCCCATATGTTGTCATAAATGCTTCATGTGTACTATATTATTTAAGCTTCTCAACAACCTTGAATAAGAGACTACATGTCTGTTGTAGATGAGGAAAAAGATTTAAGTGACCTACCTGAGGTTGCATAGCTCATAACAGAATCAGATCTAAAATTCAGCTGTGTTTAACAACTCAGCTTTTTAATCATTTTTAGCATGTGCAATATTTTTTCTTTATGTTCTTTAATAAACATTAATTTTCTACTTACTGGATGCCAGTTACTGTGCTATATATGTGTGCGTGTATGTATATATATATATTTAAGACAGGGTCTCACTCTGTCACCCAGGCTAGAGTACAGTGGTGCCATCATGGCTCACTGCAGCCTCGACCTCCTGGGCTCAAGTGATCCTTCCACCTTAGCCTCCTGAGTAGCTGGCACTACAGGCATGTGCCAGTACGCCTGGTTAATTTTTGTATTTTTTGTAGAGACAGGGTTTTGCTTTGTTGCCCAGGCTGGTCTTGAACTCCTGGGCTCAAGCAATCCTCCTACCTCCACCTCCCCAAATTCTGTAATTATGGGAGTGAGCCACACCAGCCAGTTATGCTTATTACTGTTTTTGAAGAGTAATAAGATATTTCCTGTCCTCAGAGAGCTTATAGTTGAATTATCTCACATCTTCGTTATGGTCAAAAGTTAACAAAGTAGAAACTTTGGCTGCCTTGGGAAAGAATATTGGACTATACCTCTCTTTCCAGTGGCATTTACATGTATAAAGCAAATACGATTAATGCCAGTTTGAAATGCAGTGGGATAGCTTGTGTATAATTATGTGTTAAGATGGTAACATTTGACTACCTGGGGTGTTAATACTTATGTCATTAAAAATAGTTTTTAGATAATTTAAAAATTATTACAAGATAAGTAAGTTATTACAAGGTAAGATAAGTGTGGTAGCTTTTGTTATTTTAAATGACTAGAATTCATTTCAGTCTTCACATTGACTGTTATTTTTATGGTATTGGTAAGAATTACCTGACCATAACAAACATGGCAATAATATAATACTAGATTACCAAAGACAGTTCTTTATTTATTTTATATATATATATATATATATATATATATATATATATATATATATATATTTTAATTATTTCCTTTTTTTTTTTTGAGATGGAGTCTTGCTCTGTCACCCAGGCTGGAGTGCCGTGGCACGATCTCGGCTCACCACAACCTCCACCAATTCTCCTGCCTTAACCTCCCAAGTAGCTGGGACTACAGGCGTGTGCCACTATGCCCAGCTAACTTTTTGTATTTTTAGTAGAGACGGGATTTCACCTTGCTGGCCAGGCTGGTCTCAAACTCCTGACCTCATGATCTGCCTGCCTCGGCTTCCCAAAGTGCTGGGATTACAGGCGTGAGCCACCATACCCAGCCGATTTTTTCCATCTTAATAAAGGGTGTTTATTAAAGCTGACTTTATTTTTATGCCACTGAAGTTTTTTTTTTACATTATATGTACCTAGTTGAATGTAAACTACAGGACTGCTTCTTAAATGTTTTTATGTAATACGGGTATAGAGTTCCATAAAAGTTTTCAGAATTAGGAAGAAATTGTCACATAAATATAGGAAAAATAGTCATTCCTTTTGTAGTATTCTAATTGTAATTTAACACATTTGAAATTCATTGAGTAGCTTATATGTTTCAGAAACTGGTATTTGCTTTTTATATAAAGGTTTTTCATTTAGATCTTGTGGCAACCGTATGAGATAAAATCTTTGAGGCATTCATACTTTAAGTTTGACTTAACTGAGATCACAGCTCTAAAATGGCAGTACCAGATTTTCTGACTGCAGATATTACTTGTTTTAAGTTTTCTCTTACACTCAAAGGCAAGTATATCCTGAAATTTTTGATTCTGCTCCAGTACTTAATGTATTAGTAAATAGTGCACTGTTGGGTGGGAAAAACATAATATAGAAATCAAATCTAAGATGAATATATAAAACATATTGAAAAATAGTGAAAGTAATTTAGCAATTATTAGAATACTGTTAGAGGACAGATCCGATTTCATTTTACTGCCACTGACTTAAAGCATTGTCTCTATTTTGCTGGATGTAATGGAGTTCTGGTTTTGAATGTTTCAGACATAAAAGGAATTGGTAAATTATTCTTTATAATGTTTTTACACAAGCCATGAGATAATAAAAATACTTTCGGATTCTAGCCAATTTACCCTGTGATGTATCCTAAATACCATGATTATAATTTGATTACATATCTTCTGTGAAAATTTAAAACTTTTTTTAAATTTCAGCATTTCAGAGAAAAGCTGCCTTCGTATGGAATGCAAAAGG